>NW_011332687.1:300000-460100 GCF_000001405.40 Homo sapiens | reverse complement strand
TATTGTATGGATATATTCTGATACATCTGCTAAAAACCAAACTCATTATATTACGGTTAATTTACTATGTTTAGTCAATGGTTATATTATTATTCTAAATAAGCAAGTGAGCAGTCTCACTTTCTGTCAGGAGAAGCCACCCCCTCCCCTACCTAAACTGCTATTCTCCCAGTATATAGATTATAATACAATTATTTGTTCATTGATTTATTTTTTCTTGAGGCCTGCTGTCTTTAATGAAACAAAATGTTTTCTGCTGACACTTCAAATTAATTTGAAAAAATAATACCTTTCAGTCTTCTTGTGTGGTCCCAAGAATTAGAATGACTGAGGTTTGGGTGTCCTTCAGGTATCTTGCTTCCCTCCTTGGGTAGCATCTTGGCGATTGTGCTTGGAGCTCTTGGGCTTGCCTGCAGAGCGAGGCTGGGATCAGAGGATCCAGGCGCTGGAATTGACCTTGGGACCTTGTCTATTCTTTTCCCAACACTGCGCCTGAAGTTGCCCAGGGCTGATGACATGTCCAGTGTCATTGCCTGAACTCCTCTGTGCGCCCAGGCACCACCATTCAGAGTAACTACAAGATTTTAGTGAATATGCATGAGGAGAGAAGCATTATCATTTTCATATTACAAGTGGGGAGTAGGAAGAGGTTAAGCAAAACAATGGTCCTGGATAATCCACATATTAATTAATCAGCCTCAAATACAGAGCTAAACACAGTAATCATTTATTAATTCCTGAGAACCATTATGAATCATATAATAGTTTAAAAGAGATTCAGGATTACCACTTTCAAATATATCCACTGACGCTTCCAAAGTAGTTTAATGAATGAATAAACCTATTTGTTTGTATATAAATGGTATACTTGGAAGAGCTCAAAACTTTTGTATTACTTATATGTGCACATACATTAGACACTTCCCTATCATCATTTTTACTCCCTTTTTTCTTAGCAAGCCCTTTCTTTCCAAGTAAACTTCAGTCAGACTCCCTCTGGCTGCCCACAAATCCTCAATCACTGTTGGTCCATGAAGGTTTACTGCGTTCATTTAGGTGCTCACTCCTCCCTGAGGCTCATCCCCTCCTAAAACTTCTGAGCACCCCGGAATTACTGGCCCCATGTCTCTCTCTCTCCTTTACCAAGACAGCTGCTGAGGCTGCTGCTATGCAGGTCTACCTGCCCCTCTCTGGCCTCTGTCTTGCTTTAACACATAATGTGCCTACCCCAGGTAGTCAGTATCTGGCCCCCTCCCATCTCTTTGCCAAGCAGAGAAGCTATGAAGAAAGACAATCAACAAAATGGTCCTGTACTCTAGGAGCTAAAGCCTCATTGAGATGATAACCTCAACTCAAGACATAAGGGCCATGCTATGTAATAAACAGGAGGCAGCACTAGGTCCAAGTGAACCTTTCACTCAATGACAACTTAATTTACGTACTTGAGATGTTGTAAATTCTCCTGTAATTAGATATATTATGGATTCAAATTTTAAGCCTCCTTTATACCCTTCCCCACTCCAAAAAAAAAAAAAATCCAAATTCAAACAAGTCTTCTGAATTATCTACCACTTGGGAACTTTGGTAGCCTATCCAGCATCTTTTCAGAGGAGTGAATAATCAAGTTATGTGAGTATATTTAGATTTTAAACATTTTCCTCAAACATATTCAAAATAATTCTACAAACATGTAGATTATCTACAGGACAGAAAAGGCTCTGTTTGAATCAAACCTTAATAATATAAACCACTAAACGTGAATCACTGAGTAGGAGGATGACTTTTGAGACTTGTATGGAGAGGGTGGACAAGACTCCAGGACACCATCCTCATGACTGGCCTTGATAACACCCATCTGTGGGTACACTATCCTGTGGTTTCTAAATTCTGCTTCTTTATTAAGAAACGATTAACTGTAAGGTAGAGGAACTACCATGTTATACTTCTCTGCAAATCTCAGAAACAAGCACCCAAATGTAGATCACCCTGCTGAAGCTCAGATCACAGGACTCCTTGGGTATAGATGCCTTAGAATGCTACAGGGCTGCTACCGTCTTCTTCGACTACGTAATTCAAAAGACAGCTGTGGCTTGGTCTCATTCCTACAGAGGGGCTGAAGCATGAAACTCAAACCCTAGTGCTGCTTCTGGAGATACTGCAGGATGTGATGAAGGAGGTCACTTAAACATCAATGTCACTCAAATATTTTAGAAATATTGCCCAGAAGACAGGCCTATCACTAATCAGGATTTCTGTGTCTCAATCAATAAATTTCCACTACATTCTATTCTTGCTTAAGGGGAAAGAATGCAAAGGGCTCATGAGACTAGGTTCTAGACCAAAATGTCACCCTGTGTAGCTGGGTAAGACACACGACTGCCCTGGACCCGTTTCCTCAATAGGAAAATGATGAGTTGGGGTAGAAGATCTCAAAGACTCCAGATTAGAAGATTGTCTGGCTGTGAATTTTCTATGAGATCCAGCATCCAGTCTTGGAGTGAGGGCATTCAACTGAAGATGAGCAGATCAAATCCCTTAGAGGCTGTCCTGGAGTGAGAGGTCAGGGTGAAGCACTATTTGCCTTGGAGGCCAGCAACAAGGACTGGCCTGGGCCCAACAGCATTAGTCCGTGGCGTAGGTCTGGGCCCAGGCAATGCCCACGTGGGAGTAGCAGTACAGGAATCCCAGGACAGAGAGGGTCACCCAAGGCCAGCCTGCAGAGGGAGGACAGAGATGGAAGAGCAGTTAGAAATGCTTGGGGCAGGACATCCCACATGGGCAAACTGTCCCCTTTTGGAGAAGGCAACCTGACAAACAACAAAGGCCTCCAGGAAAGTCTGCTGTAATGACAACTTCAGCAATTGAGTCCTACATTCCCATCAGAGTCAGCATAAAATGAGGAGTGCACTATTGCAAACACAAACCATGTTTATGACGAGTTAGTGGGTGCAGCGCACCAGCATGGCACATGTATACATATGTAACTAACCTGCACAATGTGCACATGTACCCTAAAACTTAAAGTATAATAAAAAAAAAAAAAAGAAATAGGGCAAGCTTTTAACGAATCCATGTTTAGAGCCAGGCACCTGTAATCCCGGCACTTTGGAAGGCTGAGGTGGGAGGATCACTTGAGTCCAAGAGTTGGAGACCAGCCTGGGAAACATAGTGAAACCTCATCTCTACCATAAATAAATAAATAAATAAATAAATAAATAAATAAATAAATAAATAAATAATAAATAAGCCAGGCATGGTGGCATGTTTCTGTAGTCCTAGCTACTTGAGAGGCCAAGGAGGAAGGATCACTTGAGATCAGGAGTTAGAGGTTACAGTGAGCTATGAGTGTGCCACTGCACTCCAGCTTGGGCCACAGAGTTAGACCCAGTATTGGTTTAAAAAAAAAAAAAAAAGAAGAATCCACGTTTAGAGGACTAAAGCAGTTAGTAATTGAAAAAGGAAAAAAGTCCATGAGTCTGAGTGTAGTCTCATGTGGCACTGTAAACATGTAGGTCATGTTCCAAAATCTGTACTTTTAGATGAGTTGTTTGAAATCAGGGTACGTTTCCCCCTAGAATAATATTGTGTGATTCATGGACAAGACACAAAAATCACCGTCATCATCACCGTTGTGTGTTTTTTTTTTTAAACTTGTAGTAAATGTGAAATAACACTAATAGGAGCTCTGAGCCCTGGGGCACTTAGGTTCCAGAAGCCCAAATATAGGGTCCTCTGTCCTTCTTGGTCAGCCTCCCCAGAGGTTTCAAGAATTCTAAGTGGTGAGGGGTGGGATAGAGACATGCAGACGTGGCTTGTCCTTGGCAATGAGACAGGAAGGCGCCAGCAGCCAAGAGGGAAAGGGTGCCGGGCAAGATCAGGAGGGTCATTTGATTGGGGCATCACAACATTTCACAGAGAGCTTTATAAATTTAAATTTTTGACATTTCTTTTGAATATGGCTAGCTAGGAAGTCATTACCTTTGTCAATCCAATTGTGTGTGTTAAAAGAAACGAACGACTGTGAAATGTAGGCATTTACAATGAACTACATTTTTTTCTTAAAGTCCATGAGTCCCATAGTAAATCTCAAAATGTAGATTAAGCATTATACTGAATTTAGTGCCATTTGTAAGCACACAGAAGGGGGAGCCTAAATTAAATATTTGCTTTCAAAACTGAAAGCTTTTAGTGATTCCCTCTACAAATACTTGTCTTAGAATATCTGATGTTCTTTTCTTTTTCTTCTTTTTTTAAAATTAACAGCCCTTTCTGCTGAGTATTTGTTACTTAACAATCTTCATGTCTTCTGCATGTTTCACTTACTCAAACATTTACTGGGGGCTTTGGAGAGCCAGAGATGCTGGGGAAGATACAAGATGCCGAAAGGGAAAGACACAGTCCCATGTCAAAGGCACTCCCACTCCAACTTGGGAAAGACACACACATACACCAGTGGGATTTATGATCATGTGGTAAGCACTAGATGATGGAATGCACAGAGCACATTTAAACTGGGCCACGTGGGCTGAGCAAGAGTTTGTCAGATGGGAAGGGACAGGGCCCAGCTACTAGAGGAAGACCACCTTATAGGCCATCCAAGGAACGGGGATCATGTGACGTGGCTGCTGCATAGGGAGGAGGCAGGCAGACAGACAGTGGTAGGAATAGGAAGGAGGCTGCGGGAAGCCCCTGGGGGTGATTACAGGTTCTCTTCTTGTTATGTCAACCATTAGCTGTCATGATTATTAATATGGCATGGGGAAGTCACTGTAGCATAGTGGTATATGTGCAGGCTCTTAAATGGGATGAGTTCAAATTCTGGCTCTGCCACTTGCCAGCTGTGGAACCTCGAGCAAGTTAATGAATCTCAAATGAAAAACTAGGGATACAGCAACTTACTGAATAGTGTCCTTATAAGGATGGAGTGAAATGATGTAAAGACTTGCACAGTGCCTGGCATAGCATGGGAACTAAAAAAAGGTAGTAATAGTAACGGTGGGAGGGCACAGAAGTCTTTCTCTACCAAGATTAGAGTGACAACAGGGAAGTCAAGCCCTGGTCTTCCTTGCGCCTTAGCCTGGCTTTCCACAGTGTTCTCCCAGGCCCTGCAGGCAAGAGAGGTGAGGGCAGCAGACGACCCCTGGCAGCCTGGCTCCAGGACCAGCCCCACAGCTCCACCTCCTGCTAGGCAGCCAGTATGTGTCCTGTGGCTACCATAACAACTTACCAAACTTAGTAGATTAAAACAATAGACATGTATTCTTAGTTCTGGAGGCCAGAAGTCTGAAATCAAGGTGTTGGCAGGAACTCTTCCTTACCTCTTCCAGCTTCTGGTGGCTCCTAGGATCCCTTGGCTTATGGCAGCATCACTGCCTCCATTTTCACAGAGCCTTCTTCCCTCTGTCCTCTCAAGGGCACCAATCATTGGATTTAAAGGCTACTCCAAATCCAGGAGGATTTCCTCTCAAGATGCCTGACAAGTTATATCCATAAAGAACCTATTCCCAAATGAAGTCACATTCTGAGGTGCCAGGTACACATGAATTTGCAGGGGAACACTAGCTCAATACAGCCAGGTACTTTCCCAGAACTTCCACATGGACCCATCCTGCTGGAAGCCCTCAGAGTTCTCATTACTGTGGCTCAGGCACAGATGCCAGGGGACCGGCCAACACCTGCTCCTCAGTGGGTTCAGGGAGCAGGATGAGGGGAGCGGGCTTTGGACACAGAAAGCACTCCTGGACTCCAGCTGTGTTTGGAGTGAGGCATCAGCAGTGTTTGGTAAACATGGAGCCCAGAGGCCAGCTGTGAAGATGGGCCAATGGGGATGTTTCATTTACACAATGCTAGGCCTGGGGCATTGCACAGCTCTGCTTGGCACCCGTGGCTATCAAGTGACACCCTGTGAAAGCTTCCGCGTAACACACAGGGCTGTAAGGAAGACTGTCCCCAAGACTGCCCAGAGGTGAGGCATAGACATGTTTAGCACGGGCCATAGCTAGGTTGTGAAAATTCTCCCCATTCTTACTGTATATGCCATCCAGAGAGGTGGCTAGATAGCACTTAGGAGACTTATAATCCTGACTGTGCTATGAGACCCTACTAGGGCCTCAGTTTCCCCATCTACACAATGACAGCTCAGAGTAATTTTTTAAAAGCATGCAAATAAAATAAGATCACAGATTTGGTAGTGCTTTCACAAAGTGTTTTAGAAATACAAAAGATTAATATAGGACCACTTGATAATTGTTACATGCCCACAGCTCACTGGACTTTTTAAAGCACACACCTTCCTACAGACAGTAGACGTGGCATGTACCAGACAGCTGTCAAGGGCTCCTTATCCTTTCCTAACCTCAGGAGTAAGATTTGTGATGACAGAATCATCATGAATGGTGATTCCAAATGAAGTCACATGCTGAGGTACCAGGTCCACGTGAATTCCGGGAGGAATACTATTTATCCCAATGCAGTTAGGTACTGTCCCTGAGCTTCCAGATGGACCCATCCTCCCTGGAGGCCTTCAGAGCTCCCATCACTGTGGCTCAGACACACAGGCAAGGGGACCGGTCAACACCACACCTCTTCCAGAAGAGACAGATTCTACATGTCACCCTTCAGCACTACTCAGCCAACTACTTCACAAGCCCTTGCTATATGCCTGGCCCTGTCCTAGGCATTGACTCTCTCTTGTTGGTGGCCTGTAGACACAAGGTCTCTGACTGTGGGCCTGCTAAGCAAGCACTGATGTGGCCCAGGGGGGCAGGGGTAGGCTTGGGGCAGAGCCTCATCTTCATCAGCAGCTCAAATAACAGTGGAATGGTAAGGCTGGAAAGCAAAGGGGAGAAGCTGTCATTCTGGCAACATTCCAAGGGCTGCTATGGTACACAGTCATGCAGGCTTGTTGGTCACTAACAAAAAAAGTTGGTGTCAAAAAGGGTTCTGCCCTGACAAACTCTGACTTCCTCCCCCTGCAGTCCACTGTCCCCCACCCATGCACCCCTCCCCACTGGGTATTCTCCTTCCAGGCTTTCCCTTCTCCACCAGGAGTGAGACTCCCAACCCCCATTCCTTTTATGCCAACCCCATTCTTCCCACAAGGCATCCTCCCAACATACATACTCTCACATTCTCTGTCTCTGTCTCTCTCCCCATTAATGTGGCTCATACTGCCTGGTGGGCAGTATGCTATTGGTCAAAGGAAAATATCCTTCTTAAGAGTGTACTTTAGGGCTGAAGCCCCCTACACACTCTGCACATTCAAGGCTGGGTCCCCAGAATCAATATGTGTAATTTCCTGCAGGGCTTTTGATATCTGGATCTAACAAGATCTAAACAGGTGATCAGTTTTTAACAGATCACAGCCAGGTAGCGTCAAAGATATATGAACAGGTTCCCAGAAAGTCAGACAACAGTTGCAAGAGATTGGATAATATAATTAATAGGACAGATTATTTGACAGATATAGCTAATTGCAGATAACTAGGATGTATGGCACAATAGATTCAATTAAGAGGACCAATGTAGGTGGCATAATAGGTAGAGTTAATAGGATGTAGGTGGTTGTATCATGACATTGTTAATAGGATATCAGTGAGCTGTATAATAACTACAGCTAATGAGAAACAGGTAGGACACAGAGGGAAATGGCTGAAGCGAAGAGAAGGTCAGCATTAAATTGTAATAACCAAGTAATAACTTGGTTAATTAACTAAGTAATAACTTTACTTGGCGTTATTATGGCTGACCAATTCTCTGAGCAATTATATCAGTCTGAAAGGAATGGAAAGCCTGCGGTTTGATACTGACGGAAAAGAGCATCAGCACACAGGGCCATGTGAAGTCAAAGGGTATGTTTTCTGAAAAGAGAAAGGATAATCAGAACAAGAAGCAGGTCCAGTGAAAAACCTTCTTTAAAAGGTAATGTGTGGCCAGGCGCGGTGGCTCACACCTGTAATCCCAGCACTTTGGGAAGCCGAGGCGGGTGGATCACGAGGTCAGGCATTTGAAACCAGCCTGGTCAACATAGTGAAACCCCTTCTCTACTAAAAATACAAAAAATTAGCGGGGTGTGGTGGCAGGTGCCTGTAATCCCAGCTACTGGGGACGCTGAGACAGGAGAATCACTTGAACCTGGGAGGAGGAGGTTGCAGTGAGCTGAGATTGCACCACTGCACTCCAGCCTGGGTGACAGTGCGAGACTCCGTCTCAGAAAAATAAAAAAAATAAATAAATAAAAGGTAATATGAAATGGTACAGCCACTGTGGAAAACAGTATGGAGGCACCTCCAAAAATTAAACCTGGAATTACCACATACATATCTGTATTAGTCCATTCTCACACTGCTAATAAAGACATATGCAAGACTGGGTAATTTATAAAGAAAAAGAGGTTTAATGGATTCACAGTTCCACATGGCTGGGGAGGCCTCACAATCATGGTAGAAGGCGAAGGAGGAGCAAAGGCATATCTTACATGGTGGCAGGCAAGAGAGCATGTGCGGGGGAACTGCCCTTTATAAAACCATCAGTTCTCATGAGACTTACTCACTATTCCTGAGAACAGCACAGGAAAACCCACCCCCATGATTCAACTACCTCCCACCGGGTCCTTCCCATGACCATGGGGATTGAGGAGCTATAATTCAAAATGAGATTTGGGTGGGGACACAGCCAAACCACACCAATATCCAAAGGAAATGAAGCAGGAACTAGAAGAGGTATTTGTATGCCATGTTCATAGAATAATTCACAACGGCCAAAAGGTGGAAGCAACCCAAGTATCCATCAACAAATGAATGGATAAGCAGAACATGGTGTAAAAATACAAGAGATTATTTAGCCTTTAAAAGGAAGGAATTCTGACACATGCTACAACATGGATGAACCCTAAAGACATCATATTAAGTAAAATAAGCCGGACACAAAAGAATACTATATGGTTCAATTTCTATGAAATATGTAGAGTAATCAAATTCACAGACACACAAAGTAGAATGATGGCTGCCAGGGGCTCAAGGGAGAGGGGAAATGAGAAGGCAGTGTTTAATGGGTATAAAGTTTCAGTTTTGCAAGACGAAAAAAACTCGAGACGGATGGTGATGACTGCATAACAATATGAATGTACTTAATGCCACCTAAAAATGGTTAAAATGGTAAATTTTATGTTTTGTGTAATTTACCATGACAACAAAACTATGCTGAGTGAAGAAGCCCTTGGCAAAATAATACAGTATATATTATTTATATAAAATGTATACTTACAGTTACAAAAAGCATATCGGGGGTTGCCTGGGGCTGGGCGGCGACAGGTTGTGCAGGGGCCCTAGGAATCTTTTGGGATGATGATGTTTTATATCTTGATTGTGAGACTGATTTCAAGGGTGTATAAAACTGGCAAAATTCAGCCAATTGTATACCTTGAATGATGCATTTAGTATGTCTCAATGAAGCTGACATTTGAAAATTTTAAAGATAACATTGGGATGTTAGCAAATCATAGATTTGCAGCATTAATCATAGATTAAGCATTGCAATGTCTTGGGCTTTTTATGCCTCAGGGTGTTCAGACAAAAGATGTGAGAAAAAATAATTATTTATTTATTTATTTATTTATTTATTGACGGAGTTTCACTCTTGTTGCCCAGGCTGGAGTGCAATGGCACGATCTTGGCTCACCGCAACCTCTGCCTCCCAGGTTCAAGTGATTCTCCTGCCTCAGCCTCCCGAGTAGCTGCATTTACAGGCATGCACCACCATGCCCAGCTAATTGTGTATTTTTAGTAGAGACAGAGTTTCTCCTTGTTGGTCAGGCTGGTCTTGAACTCCTGACCCAAGGTGATCCACCTGCCTTGGCCTCTCAAAGTGGTGGGATTACAGGCATGAGCCACAGTGCCCAGACCAGAATTCATTTTTTTTTTTTTTTGAGATGTTTTGCTCTGTCGCCCAGGCTGGAGTGCAGTGGTGCAATCTCGGCTCACTGCAAGCTCTGCCTTCCGGGTTCACGCCGTTCTCCTGCTTCAGCCTCCTGAGTAGCTGGGACTACAGGCACCCGCCACTGCGCCCAGCTAATTTTTTGTATTTTTAGTAGAGATGGGGTTTCACCATGGTCTCGGTCTCCTGACCTAGTGATCTGCCTGCCTCGGCCTCCCAAAGTGCTGGGATTACAGGCGTGAGCCACGGTACCTGGCCCCAGAATTCATTTTTAAAATGATGGTAGGCCAGGCATGGTGGCTCATGCCTATAATCCCAGCACTTTGGGAGGCTGAGGCGGTCAAATCACTTGAGGCCAGGAGTTCAAAACCAGCTTGGCCAATATGGCAAAACTTGGTCTCTACTAAAAATACAAAAATTAGCAGGGCGTGGTGGCGTGCACCTGTGATCATAGCTACTCAGGAGGCTGAGGCACCAGAATCACTTGAACCCGGGAGGCAAAGGTTACAGCAAGCCGAAATTGTGCCACTGCACCTCTAGCCTGGGCAACAGAGTGAGCCTCTAAAAAAAATATGTAATAAAAATAAAAATAAAATAATGATGGACCTTCGGTCCTTCATCTTCCTAGGGGCAGGGGGACTTATCATGTGTAGGACTGAACACTGGGCTCCCCTAATCACGCCTTCTTCCCCTGAGGCCTCTGTGGGGCAGGAGGACTGGAAAAGCTTTCTTAACCACACAGATGCATTCAGCAGTGGGAAGGCTGCTGTTGCTGAACCAGCACAAATTCCTATCCCAAGGAAGAAATCAATCCATCCTAATGGGAGATGAGTTAATTGAGTTGCTGAATTGTGTCTGAGCTATCAATTACCCCATCAGAGGCTCACTTGGCTGTCAGGCTGGGCAGCACTCCCGAGTCTGTGACCACCATCTTGTCTCTAACAGGGCTGTTTCAAAGACCACATCCTACTGGTACCCATTTTTAGAAGACAATGGCTGATGGCCAGCACATGAACAAACTTCAGGGAAGCTTTCTTCCTAGCCACCCAGCACCATAGTCTCTGTCTACATGCAAATGGTCTACAAAGAATATGCAATCTACTACACCATTTACAACAAAGAATACACAATCTTAGTTAATTCTTACAACACTCTGAGGTAGAAATTACTATTCTCATTTTAAGAGGCAGAAACTGAGGCTCAGAAAGGTAAATAACTTGTCATAGAGCACCCAGCTAGCAGATTCTCAAACTTTGGTTTTGATTTCAATCCAATAGTGATATTCTTGCTTGAAGCCACATCACCTCACAAAGGCCCAGAGTCCACATCCCAAGCCCAGGGTGGCAGGTTGAGTCCTATGTGGAAAACAGTCTGAATGATGTCTGTCCCTTAGTTTTTTAAATCTACCATTATCCACGATTTATCTAGCATTAATACTGCCTTAACTTCCTCCCTCCTTCCACCAAGGCAAGTTTTCTAGCTAGAGGCTCCAGCACCCCACTGCCTGCTGTCCCTCTGGCTCATCCACTGTGCAGTCATCAACTTTCTGGTTCCCAGTTCTGAGGGCTGAACAGCGCTATGACCTTCCCAGCTTGGCTCTTGGGTCCTTTCAGCTAAAATGATAGATTCTTACTTTCTGGTCCCATAGAGTAATGTCCCCCCAGTGACTCAAAACCATTCTAAGGAAGGAAAGAGAGGAGATTCCCATCACTCCTAAGAACCACCAGGTTGTAAAGAAAACAAGATTCACCTCCTAAGACAAACTCTTCTTGGTCAAAGCCTACGTCTGCAAATGTGAAGGATATATTAGGTTGGAACAAAAGTAATTGTAGTTTTGTCATTACTTTCAATGGCAAAACCTCAATTACTTTTGCACCAACCTAATATGATTCTTAAATGTCACCAACATATCCATCCACGTCCATGGGGTGCACTATGCACATGTAACAGCCCACACAGCCAACCTGGTTAAGACCAATATGAAACTGATAAATTTCAACCTCCAGAGGGTTTACTAATGGGCTGGCTCAGAGAGGGATATATCCAATGGGGAAGTAGAATGAAGGGAAAGAGGCGACTCCAGGAGATGCTGCCAAAGAGGGATTTATAAGACTTGGTGACTGATGAATTTGGGGGCCTCTCTCACTGACCCTGAGCATAGCCTCAGCATGTGCCCTCAAGGCTGACACTCAGCTGGTGTGCATCAGAGAGACTATACCTGACATTAAAAGAATGATATGCTACCCTAGAGTGAGTAAAAGCCATGGTCCTGGCCTCTCCCTCATGACTTGTCTTCTGCTACAAAAAGAGGGGTCACATGTGGTTCTGCAGAGGCCCCAAGGGCCTGCTCCTGCACTTGCCACCATCTCTTTGGATCCACTGGTCCATGCCTGTGCCCTGCCATTTGTTAGATATCCTGAATATCAGCCCCTAACTGTATGTACATATCTCTGCTTTGGTGGCATTTTCTATTTTGAGGCCACTGGAGGATGAGTGCTTCTTTCCTTAAAGAACTGCCTCATGCACCAGACCCTAGACCTAGGGTGCTGACACCGGATCTGGAAACACACTGGCCCTGCCCTGGCACTCTCTGCACCATCCCACCAGCTTCACAACCATTATCTCATTAATTATTCAGAATGACTTTATGCACTGCTGCCTTCATTCACTGAGCTGGCACTGACAGCACTTAGTTTAACCATGTTCAGATCTGATAGGGGGAAACGATAAGGTGGCTTGGCAGCTGTATTTAAATCTTATTTACTCTAGTAGTTGCAGTCTGGAGATATCATGGAGTCATTCATCAAATGGCCCTAAGCCTGCAGACCTTCCTCCAGAGCTAAATTTAGAGTTTTAATCTTAATAAGCCTATGAGGCAGGAGCCTTCTCCCATCAGAGGGCTGGTTATCTTATCAAAAGATACACAGCAACAGCAAAGCTGCCTCAGGCTTCTGAGCCTATAAACCACTGGATCTAACTCCAAACGTGGGGGAGATGGACAGAAGCTTTGAAGAACAGGCTTTTGCTACCTTAAGGCTCTAATGATAATTCCTTACCCTCACAGAGTTTACATACCTGGAACTCAAACCCCGGTGTTCAGGCCTCACAGTTTTTTCAAAAAATGGTCAGCTGTCACTTTCACTTTCACGTCCTCTCAGGAGAAAGGACTAGATGGTTGTCATCTATTCGAAATTGAAGCAGAAAATCCCAGAACAGCAAGTCTGCATCAGAATCACCTGGAGGACAGGCTGAAACGCAGACTGCAGGGCCCCACCCCACAGTTTCTGATCCAGTAGATCTGGGGTAGGCCTGAGAATCTGCATCTCTAGCAAGTTCCAGGTGATGTGGATGCTGCTGGTCTGAGAACCACACTTTGGGAACTACTGTTGTAGGGGAATCTGCAGGGGGAAGGGCATTCTACTAAATTGGGTGCTCACGCATGGAGCAGAGGAGACAGACATTTACTGAGCATTACATGTGGCTTGGCTGGGTACATCCCTCATTCTCACAACCACCTTATCACACAGGTGTCACCAGCCCCATTTAGTAGATACGGAAACTAAGGCTCGGAGAAGTAGCTTTCCCAAGGTCTAAACGCTCATTGGACATTAGAACTCAAGGCTGTGTGGCTCCACAGTACACTTGACCATTGAAGCTCAGACAGCAGCAGCTTGCTTCAGGTCACATGGTGAACGTTGCTGGCCAGGATTCTTTTCCTTTAAATCCTTGGCCTTCAAATCTCATTTCATCCCCCTACTCCAGGTGCTCAAGGTAACAGAGAGGGAGAAGCTTCAGGATGGTGTTTTCAGACCTCAGCTAGCACTCACTCACTCGGTCCCCCCATCTCCTGGGGCCGCCCTTTCTTGTCGCTGTGGTGGGAGACAGAGAAAGCATAGATGAGCACGCTTATATCCTTTGTCTTGGTTAGTGCCTAATTTAGACTGTGAGCATTGAAGAGCATGTTCCCAGTGCCTGCATGACCCTTTATTAAAACTGTTAAAGCCACAATTATATGGCCCCTGCTAAGGGCTGAGCCTGCAAGAGGATTTGGCAAGGAGAGACAGAGGAAGGGGCAGCTGGGACCACCCTCAGGGAGCTTCCTCCATTCTGAGCAAGAGATCCTTGCTAGGAGCTGAGTGCACATTTTAACCAGCACAAACAGTTGTCTTTAATAAATCACACTGTTCACAGTCAATTTCACATCCTGATGAGGCCAACTTCTACTGCATTTTTCATCCTTCCCTAACTCCCGATGCAAGCTCTGCAGGCAAGCACTTACTAAAGCACTCACTTCCATGAAGTAAAATCATTCCACCTGAAATGCAGGGAGTGGGGAGGAGAACTAGCCAGAGCCACTTTTTCTTATTCTGACAGCACAAGCAGAAGGGGTGCTGAAAAAAAACAAATATTTTCTCTCTCCAGGGACAACTAGGTAGGGGACCTGCTTTCCAGAAAACTGTCCACTGCAGTGGTTGCTATACCCCAAATCAGGCCCCTGGAGCCAGAGGCTGCACAGTCATAACACACTTCCCCAGCTGTTTCTCTTCTTTAACCTGTGTTTTTATTCCAGCCTAATTAGGAGTGTTGTGCATTATTAATTCATGACCACACTATAAAACACAGTGGACGCTGCCTAGCAAATGAGCTCACAGAAGTCACTTTCCTGAAACAGGGATGGCACACCACGAATCAGGCTTCTTGTCAGACACCCCTGACAACCGCTCACCCACATCCATATTTATGAAGCACCTACTGTGTGCTTAGCATTCAGACAGGCAGCCTGGATTCTTGCCATAGGCAGTCTGCGTCTTCATTTGAGGCCTTATGTGAAGGTGCCACCGAAGGCTGAGGGCAAACTCTGGGGCCACCACGCTCCTCCCCTACAACTTATGTTCAGCTCCACAGCTCTGGGATCCAATTGTGCAGATGACAAAAGGCTCAGTGACAACAAAGATAACAGAGACAGGATTTCCAAAAACTAGGTAGGCTGTGAGGATGAACTAACACTAATAAGTTAAAATTGAATAAGATAAAAACAGCTAAACTTAGCAGATTTTATTTTATTAATTTTTTAAATTTTTTTAAATTATACTTTAAGTTCTACAGTACCTGTGCACAACATGCAGGTTTGTTACATATGTATACATGTGCCATGTTGGTTTGCTGCACCCATTAACTCGTCATTTACATTAGGTATTTCTCCTAATGCTACCCTCCCCCTGCCACCCACCTGCCAACAGGCCCTTGTGTGTGAGAACATGTGGTGTTTACGGTGATAGTTTGCTCAGAATGATGGTTTCCAGCTGCATCCATGTCCCTACAAAGGACATGAACTCATCCTTTTTTATGGCTGCATAGTATTCCATGGTATACATATGCCACCTTTTCTTAATCCAGTCTATCATTGATGGACATTTGGGTTGGTTCCAAGTTTTTGCTATTGTGAATAGTTCCGCAATAAACATACGTGTGCATGTGTCTTTATAGCAGCATGATTTGTAATCCTTTGGGTATATACCCAGTAATGGGATGGCTGGGTCAAATGGTATTTCTAGTTCTAGATCCTTGAGGAATCACCACACTGTCTTCCACAATGGTTGAACTAGTTTACACTCCCACCAAAAGTGTAAAAGTGTTCCTGTTTCTCCACATCCTCTCCAGCATCTGTTGTTTCCTGACTTTTTAGTGATTGTCATTCTAACTGGTGTGAGATGGTATCTCATTGTGGTTTTGATTTGCATTGTGATGATGAGCATTTTTTCATGTGTCTGTTGGCTGCATAAATGTCTTCGTTTGAGAAGTGTCTGTTCCTATCCTTTGTCCACTTTTTGATGGGGTTTTTTCTTTCTTGTAAATTTGTTTGAGTTCATTGTAGATTCTGGATATTAGCCCTTTGTCAGATGGGTAGATTGCAAAAATTTTCTCCCATTCTGTAGGTTGCCTGTTCACTCTGATGGTAGTTTCTTTTGCTGTGCAGAAGCTCTTTACTTTGATTAGATCCCATTTGTCAATTTTGGCTTTTGTTGCCATTGCTTTTGGTGTTTTAGTCATGAAGTCCTTGCCCATGCCTATGTCCTGAATGGTATTGCCTAGGTTTTCTTCTAGGGTTTTTTAATGGTTTTGGGTCTAACAGTTAAGTCATTAATCCATCTTGAATTAATGTTTGTATAAGGTGTAAGGAAGGGATCCAGTTTCAGCTTTCTACATATGGCTGGCCAGTTTTCCCAGCACCATTTATTAAATAGGGAATCCTTTCCCTATATCTTGTTTTTGTCGGGTTTGTCAAACATCAGATGGTTATAGATGTGTGGTGTTATTTCTGAGGTGTCTGTTCTGTTCCATTGGTCTATATCTCTGTTTTGGTACCAGTACCATGCTGTTTTGGCTACTGTAGTCTTGTCTTATAGTTTGAAGTCAGGTAGCGTGATGCCTCCAGCTTTGTTCTTTTGGCTTAGGATTGTCTTGGCAATGAGGGTTCTTTTTTGGTTCCATATGAACTTTAAAGTAGTTTTTTCCAATTCTGTGAAGAAAGTCATTGGTACCTTGATGGGGATGGCACTGAATCTATAAATTACCTTGGGCAGTATGGCAATTTTCACAATATTGATTCTTCCTATCCATGAGCATGGAATGTTATTCCATTTGTTTATGTCCCCTTTTAATTCGTTGAGCAGTGGTTTGTAGTTCTCCTTGAAGGGGTCCTTCACATCCCTTGTAAGTTGGATTCCTGGGTATTTTATTCTCTTTGAAGCAATTGTGAATGGGAGTTCACTCATGATTTCGCTCTCTGTTTGTCTGTTATTGGTGTATAGGAATGCTGTGATTTTTGCACATTGATTTTGTATCCTGAGACTTTGCTGAAGTTGCTTATCAGCTTAAGGAGATTTTCGGCTGAGACAATGGGGTTTTCTAAATATACAATCATGTCTTCTGCAAACAGGGACAATTTGACTTCCTCTTTTCCTAATTGAATACCCTTTATTTCTTTCTCCTGATTGCCCTGGCCAGAACTTCCAACACTATGTTGAATAGGAGTGGTGACAGACAGCACCCCTGTCTTGTGCCAGTTTTCAAAGGAAATGCTTCCAGTTTTTGCCCATTCAGTATGATATTGGTGGTGGGTTTGTCATAAATAGCTCTTATTATTTTGAAATACATTCCATCAATACCTATTTTATTGAGAGTTTTTGGCATGAAGGGCTGTTGAATTTTGTCAAAGGCCTTTTCTGCATCTATTGAGATAATCATGTGGTTTTTGTCATTGGTTCTGTTTATATGCTGGATTACATTTATTGATTTGCATACGTTGAACCAGCCTTGCATCCCAGAGATGAAGCTGACTTGATCGTGGTGGAGAAGCTTTTTGATGTGCTGCTGGATTTGGTTTGCCAGTATTTTATTGGGGATTTTCAAATCAATGTTCATCAGGGATATTGGTCTAAAATTCTCTTTTTTTGTTGTGTCTCTGGCAGGCTTTGATATCAGGATGATGCTAGCCTCATAAAATGAGTTAGGGGGGATTCCCTCTTTTTCTATTGATTGGAATAGTTTCAGAAGGAATGGTACCAGCTCCTTTTTGTACCTCTGGTGAATCTGTCTGGTCCTGGACTTTTTTTGGTTGGGAGGCTATTAATTATTGCCTCAATTTCAGAGCCGGTTATTGGTCTATTCAGAGATTCAACTTCTTCCTGGTTTAGTCTTGGGAGAGTGTATGTATCAGGAATTTATTTCTTCTAGATTTTCTAGTTTATTTGCATAGAGGTGTTTATAGTATTCTCTGATGGTAGTTTGTATTTCTGTGGAATCAGTGGTGATATCCCCTTTATCATTTGTTATTGCATCTATTTGATTCTTCTGTTTTCTTCTTTGTTAGTCTTGCTAGTGGCCTATCAATTTTGTTGATCTTTTCAAAAAACCATCTCCTGGATTCATTGATTTTTTGAAGGGTTTTTTGTGTCTCTATCTCCTTCAGTTCTGCTCTGATCTTAGTTATTTCTTGCCTTCTGCTAGCTTTTGAATGTGTTTGCTCTTGCTTCTCTAGTTCTTTTAATTGTGATGTTAGGATGTCGATTTTAGATCTTTCCTGCTTTCTCTTGTGGGCATTTAGTGCTATAAATTTCCCTCTATACACTGCTTTACATGTGTCCCAGAGATTCTGGTACGTTGTGTCTTTGTTCTCACTGGTTTCAAAGAACATCTTTGTTTCTGCCTTCATTTCGTTATTTACCCAGTAGTCATTCGGGAGCAAGTTGTTCAGTTTCCATGTAGTTGTGCGGTTTTGAGTGAGTTTCTTAATCCTGAGTTCTAATTTGATTGCACTGTGGTCTGAGAGACAGTTCGTTGTGATTTCTCTTCTTTTACATTTGCTGAGGAGTGCTTCACTTCCAACTATGTGGTCAGTTTTGGAATAATTGCAGTGTGGTGCTGAGAAGAATGTATATTCTGTTGATTTGGGGTAGAGAGTTCTGTAGATGTCTATTAGGTCTGCTTGGTACAGAACACCCCAATGTCAATATTAGACAGATCAATGAGACAGAAGGTTAACAAGGATATCCAGGACTTGAACTCAGATTTTGTTTTTTAATCCAACTATACAAATATGGAGTGGCAGAAGTGAGGGAACATGATATGGAAGTAGCAGTTGATGGATGAACTTATATCTACCTGGGAATGATAAGACTCTGCAGAAGACAAGATAGTTGCTGCAAATATATAAAAGTCTACTTTAGAAGAGTGATGTCAAGAGGTCTGAGCACCCTCAGGGGCAGGGCTGGGAGGAAAGAGTAGATGCTGGGAGGAAAAGGGACACTTGGGCCACTGGACACCCAATGAAAGCTCGAGAGACTGAGCTTCCTTGGGCAGGGGCAGGACAGCATGTGGGCCGGAACATAAGGGAGGAGATTCCTCCTTTGATGGGAGGTAGAACCCGGTCTGAGAGCCTATGAACTTGCCTTCTTTCTTCCTACGTCCCTAGAACCAGGGCATGCATGGTAAAATGGTCAATGAATAAACAAAGACGAGACTGAAGGAACACAGGGTTGACTTCAGAGTACCCATTCATAAGACTGCCAGATCCATGCTTCAGGCCATTAAAAATAATAGTTGTGGCAAAACCTCTGATCAAGACCACAACCTCTGTGTACATTTGGCCCTCATTTTCCAAGCCTGTGCAACATAGTCAATTGACGGAAGTGCCCACAGTCTAGGCATCCTCTACACTTGTGGAAGTGCCTGGGAGAAGAGGCATCTGGCGCACACTGGCCCTAAACACCTGGACTTACCAAGGGAGGGAAGGGCAGGAATGCACTCCACACACCCACTCTTCTACCACCACCAAATGAAAATGCCATAAAGAGCTGAAAGGGAAAGGAAAGAGAGTGATGCCTAAACTACGTGAACATCTCAAAGGTGATGTCAGCAAATGCTTCTGACATGTTCTTTTCCTAGAGCAGTTGTTGGATAAAGAATTCTAAATTACTTGACTTGAATTTCTGAGCAAAGAACAGAATGATAAAGCCAAGTTCCCGGGGGCAGCAGCCATGGCCACAGCAGCTCTTCCCAGAGCTCTCAGAAGCGATGATGAGCTAGGATTGCCAGCCACTGCTCTGGAAGGGGAAGGAAATGTTCCTGCCTGTCAAAGATGCCTTTGTTCTCACCTCCATGTGCCCACTGTGACTGCAGTCTATTTTGCTCATCAACACACTGAAGATTGGGACTGGTTGAAAGCTGGAGGTATTGTGGAGCAAGAGTTTTCTGTGCATAATCTTCCAGCAGCAGCTGCTGCTCTTCATCCAGGAGTGGACTAGGTTGTCCAGAGGCATCCCCACTGTCTCCCCTGGTCCTCCTGCCTAAGAGCAGGCCAGGCTGTGCCTGTGGTGCAGTAGGTGGCTGTGGAGCCATTTCTCATGAAGGCTCCTGAGGCCATAGATTTGGTCTCACTAGTGCTCATTTTAACCACCTGAGCTACCTTCTTCAAAAAGAACTTGACTGGAGCACAGAACAGTTCTGATATTAGTTTGGAAAAAAATGTGGCTCCAACATTTACAAATGATATTTGGAAAAGGCATCTCATCTCCTAGGTCCTGTACAAGAAGGGGTGTGGGGAACACAGGTAGAGGCATCCAAGCTCAGAGATGCTACAGTGGTGGCGCTGTCCACATCTACCCCAGCAGCCAGCCCCTGGAGGGGAAGCAGTTTGCCATGCCTTGGAAGCACAGGGCATTTAGGGGGTCCTGGGCACCAGGAAGAGGCATCACAGGGAGAGGCCCACTGGGATGTCAGGGAGTCTGGGGGCCCTCTCTGCTAAAGAAGCATGAGAGCTGCCTGGGGATGGGGCAAGGGCTCTTATATCACTGTTCAGGGCAGAGAAAAGGAATACAGAAGACCCCACATCTCTACCCTTCCTCCATCAAACCCACGTGGAAACCCTGGCGACCAAGGGTTCTCTGCTGACGGTGAGCGGAGAGGCACTGGGCTGTCTCACGCTATAGCTGCTCTTCCTGGCGTGACCCACTTCCCCTGCAGGAGCATAAGGCTATGGAGCCATTGGGGAGCAGGGGATGAGCACGGCTGCCTGGCCCTGGAGAGGAGCCATGATCACTGCTGCTGTCATCTCAGGCCACATGGGAAACAAGAGGCTCAAAGGGCAGGGGGACGGGGGGGGTATGTGTGCTCAGCCTGAGGGTAAGAGAAAGCACATGCGTGACTGTGGACTCCAGCTAGGCTGAGTGGCTCCAGGTGCCATGCCGTACAAGTGACACTGTCACACAGCCGCCACTTCCTCTATGTAGGTCTAGAAGGGCTCTTCTATGGGAGGTCTAGAAGGGCTCCACATGGGGACATGAAGATAAATAAAAGTGTAGCCTAGAAAAAGACCATGAGGTCACCTGGAAAGGGAAATGGACTTAGTCTATGTCACTCTAGAAGGCAGAACCAAGACCAATGGATGGAAGTGACAGGAGATGGATTTTGGCTACTGTCAAAAGGAACATATAACATTTAGAGCCTCCGAACAGAAAGTGGGCATCTTTGTTTGGAATCACTCAGCATCTGGGCAGTTTGGGAAGCTGTTAGGAAGGCATCCATTGCAGATATCTGCCTCCGAGAGAAGGCGGGACCAGATGATCCCTACAAAGGTCCCTTGTAATTCTAAGAGGTTACAGTCCTATAAAATATAGGTCTTCAAATCATCCTTACCTCCCCCCAGAAAGTCAGTCCAAGGAATAAGCTAAAAGACCACTGCAGAAGCAGGGAGAGGAGGGGCATTTGTCTGTAACTGGAGCAGAAGGCAGTGTTCTAGCAAACTGTGGAAACGTCAGAGGAAATGGCAAATTTTTAAATGACGTACTCATGAGGATATTTACCTGACGTATAAAGTGACTCAGATACATTTTTTCCACTTCGGTTACAGAGAAAGACGTTTTTGTGCCTTACAGACCCTGCTCTGAGGGAACCTCTGTTGCCACAATCAACGGCAGGTCTGCCCAGGACAACAGGCAAGTCCTGGTGGGTGCTCCGAGCCCAGGCTGGGATGGGTATCCTCTGCACCTCCAGCAAGAGTTCCTCTCACAGCAGCCCTGCTCACTGGGCTGCCTAAATTTCCTACACTTTGCAGGAGCTCACAGGGAAGAATTTCCTCTTCACTGGCTGATCTGCTCAGAATCAAACACCAGTAACCAATTGTCTACAGGGTCAGAGGAGACAGAACAGGGCGCCATTGACATGGATCAGAGGAGAAGCCAGTCAAGACAGCCAGGATCTCAGTGATTGCGACAATCACTAATGAGGCATTAGCACCCTCCCTGCCTCCTCCATGCTTTCTGTTCAGGCAGCTGGAGTGGCAGGGAGGCTGGGATCCTTTGGGAAACTTTTCCCAGCTATTTATTCTCTTCCTGGTAATCTTTACATGGGGTTAATTGTTGGCCTCCGGGGAAGGGGCCTCAGCTGCCGCAGCTTCTGGCTGGTTATGTTTGTGACCTCAGAGCACAATATTTACATGATGGAGTCCTTGCAGAGTTTCCAGATGCTTCTTTGGTTTTGGGTCAGTTCGGGACGTGGAACCAGCCTCCTTCAATGGGCTTTCTCTGATTCCTCTAAAGTGATGGGGTAGTGCCTACAAGGGTCAGCCCTATGGCTTAGATCTGAATTTCTTCCCGTGTCCCAAAAACTGGAGCTTGAGGTGATGTCCAAAGAAGGAACTGTGATAGTACCCTCCCTGTGCCCCTGGTACATCTCTGACATCACCCTTGGGAGGAGTACTGACCTAGGCTGTTGGAACCCTTCCCATTGCAGAGCCTCCCACCTCCTTCCTAGGGGCTGCACTGTACTCATTCCATGGGGAAGATATGGCTCTGTTCTTGCCATTTGGCTGGGAACAATCTGATCTGAAGATAAACTAACCATCATGCGACTCTCATCATTCAACACTTATTGAGCTCCTACTATATACAGAGCAGTAGGCTAAGTGCTGGGATACCAGCGATTAAAAGGCTGCCTTTCAGTTGGGGTAGGGAGAAAAGAATCTGATGTAAAACAATAAATCAGAACCCCAGGGTGTTTCCTGATGTTAATGAATGATTCATTCAACATTTATTATGCCTTTTCTGTGTGCTGGGCACTATGCCAAGAGCCAGGGCACATGGGATGACAGAACTGGCTTCTGCCCTTGGAGAGCTACAGTTTAGTGGAGGGAGGGACCCAGGCATTCATGGTGTGGGTTCTAGAACACTGAGAGCCGGTGGAGAGGACACAGGAACAGACAGGGCTAAGGACGTGTAGAAATGGGGACTGCCTTGATTCTATTGGTCGCCAGTGCATGAAGGGAAAGGCCAACCATGGCTCACTATTATTCCACTGTCACACTACTCCCATCACACTATTCCGCCATCACACTATTCTGCTGTCACACTATTCCACTGTCACACTATTCCCATCACACTATTCTGCTGTCACACTATTCTGCTGTCACACTATTCCTGTCACACTACTCCCGTCACACTATTCCACCGTCACACTATTCCATCACACTATTCCCGTCACACTATTCTGCTGTCACACTATTCCCATCACACTATTCCCGTCACACTATTCCCATCACACTATTCTGCTGTCACACTATTCCCCATCACACTATTCCACCGTCACACTATTCCCGTCACACTATTCCGCTGTCACACTATTCCCATCACACTATTCTGCTGTCACACTATATTCCCCGTCACACTATTCCACCGTCACACTATTCCGCCGTCACACTATTCCCATCACACTATTCCCGTCACACTATTCCCGTCACACTATTCTGCTGTCACACTATTCCCCATCACACTATTCCACCGTCACACTATTCCGCCGCCACACTATTCCCGTCACACTATTCCCATCACACTATTCTGTCACACTATTCCACCATCACACTATTCCGCCGTCACACTATTCCCGTCACACTATTCCCCTGTCACACTGTTCCCATCACACTATTCCCCGTCACACTATTCCGATCACACTATTCCCCGTCACACTATTCCGGTCACACTATTCCGGTCACACTATTCCCGTCACACTATTCCCATCATACTATTCCGGTCATACTATTCTGCTGCCACACTATTCTGTGTCACACTATTCCCGTCACACTATTCTGCTGTCACACTATTGCTGTCACACTATTCCGGTCATACTATTCCGCTGCCACACTATTCTGCTGTCACACTATTCTGCTGTCACACTATTCCCATCACACTATTCTGCTGTCACACTATTCCTGTCACACTATTCCGGTGTCACACTATTCCGGTGTCACACTATTCCAGTCACACTATTCCGCTGTCACACTATTCCTGTCACACTATTCCCATCACACTATTCCCCGTCACACTATTCCTGTCCCACTATTCCACTGTCACACTATTCCCATCACACTATTCCACTGTCACACTATTCCATCACACTATTCCCGTCACACTTTTCCCATCACACTGTTCCACTGTCACACTGTTCCACTGTCACACTATTCCACTGTCACACTGTTCCACTGTCACACTATTCCACTGTCACACTATTCCTGTCACACTATTCCCCGTCCCACTATTCCCGTCACACTGTTCCACTGTCACACTATTCCACTGTCACACTATTCCCGTCACACTTTTCCCATCACACTGTTCCACTGTCACACTATTCCACTGTCACACTATTCCCGTCACACTATTCCACTGTCACACTATTCCCATCACACTATTCCCGTCACACTGTTCCCGTCACACTGTTCCACTGTCACACTATTCCACTGTCACACTATTCCCGTCACACTGTTCCCATCACACTATTCCACTGTCACACTATTCCCGTCACACTATTCCACTGTCACACTATTCCCATCACACTATTCCCATCACACTGTTCCCATCACACTATTCCACTGTCACACTATTCCCATCACACTACTCCACTGTCACACTATTCCCGTCGCATTATTCCCGTCACACTGTTCGTCACACTGTTCCACTGTCACATTACTCCCATCACACTATTCCCGTCACACTGTTCCCATCACACTATTCCACTGTCACACTATTCCCATCACACTATTCCCGTCACACTGTTCCCGTCACACTGTTCCACTGTCACACTATTCCACTGTCACACTATTCCCATCACACTGTTCCCGTCACACTATTCCACTGTAACACTATTCCCCATCACACTATTCCACTGTCACACTATTCCCATCACACTATTCCCGTCACACTGTTCCCATCACACTGTTCCACTGTTACACTATTCCACTGTCACACTATTCCACTTTCACACTATTCCACTGTCACACTATTCCACTGTCACACTATTCCCATCACACTATTCCCGTCACACTGTTCCCATCACACTATTCCACTTTCACACTGTTCCACTGTCACACTATTCCCGTCACACTATTCCACTGTCACACTGTTCCCGTCACACTGTTCCCGTCACACTATTCCACTGTCACATTATTCCCATCACACTATTCCCGTCACACTGTTCCCATCACACTGTTCCACTGTCACTCTATTCCACTGTCACACTATTCCACTTTCACACTATTCCCATCACACTATTCCCGTCACACTGTTCCTGTCATACTATTCCACTTTCACACTATTCCACTGTCACACTATTCCCGTCACACTATTCCACTGTCACACTGTTCCCATCACACTGTTCCCGTCACACTGTTCCCGTCACACTATTCCACTATCACACTATTCCACTGTCACACTATTCCACTTTCACACTGTTCCACTTTCACACTATTCCACTGTCACACTATTCCCGTCACACTATTCCCGTCACACTATTCCACTGTCACACTATTCCACTGTCACACTATTCCACTTTCACACTATTCCACTGTCACACTATTCCCATCACACTATTCCACTGTCACACTATTCCCATCACACTATTCCACTGTCACACTATTCCGCTGTCACACTATTCCGCTGTCACACTATTCCGCTGTCACACTATTCCCATCACACTATTCCACTGTCACACTATTCCCATCACACTATTCCACTGTCACACTATTCCACTGTCACACTGTTCCCGTCACACTATTCCACTGTCACACTATTCCAGTCACACTATTCCCGTCACACTATTCCACTGTCACACTATTCCCGTCACACTATTCCACTGTCACACTATTCCCATCACACTATTCCCGTCACACTGTTCCTGTCATACTATTCCACTTTCACACTATTCCACTGTCACACTATTCCCGTCACACTATTCCACTGTCACACTATTCCCATCACACTATTCCCGTCACACTGTTCCCATCACACTATTCCACTATCACACTATTCCACTGTCACACTATTCCACTTTCGCACTATTCCACTTTCACACTATTCCACTGTCACACTATTCCCGTCACACTATTCCACTCTCACACTATTCCACTTTCACACTATTCCACTGTCACACTATTCCCATCACACTATTCCACTGTCACACTATTCCACTGTCACACTATTCCCATCACACTATTCCACTGTCACACTATTCCACTGTCACACTATTCCACTTTCACACTATTCCGCTGTCACACTATTCCCGTCACACTATTCCACTGTCACACTATTCCACTGTCACACTATTCCCGTCACACTATTCCCGTCACACTATTCCACTGTCACACTATTCCCGTCACACTATTCCCGTCACACTATTCCACTGTCACACTATTCCCGTCACACTATTCCACTGTCACACTATTCCACTGTCACACTATTCCACTTTCACACTATTCTACTGTCACACTATTCCCGTCACACCATTCCACTGTCACACTATTCCCGTCACACTATTCCACTGTCACACTATTCCCATCACACTATTCCACTGTCACACTATTCCACTTTCACATTATTCCACTGTCACACTATTCCCGTCACACTATTCCACTGTCACACTATTCCCATCACAGTATTCCACTGTCACACTATTCCCGTCACACTATTCCACTGTCACAGGCACACCTTCTGGTGGTTTCCATCCTCCATGAAGACCCTCCCTCAACAAGCAGAAGGTCTGCCCTCCAGCTCCTGCCCCAGCACCTCAGCTGCTCTGGCCTCCAGCATGACTAAGATTTTTTTCAAAAAATTTAATCTCTTTTTGACCAGATAATGCATAATATAAAATACAAAAGGTACCAAAGGGTAGGCAGGGAAAAGGAAATCTCCCCTCACTCCTCTGTCTAATCCCTCAGTTCCTCCCCTTATAGGCATCTCCTGTTCCCATTTCCTTGTTTATCCTCCCACAAATATTGTATGTACACAGAAACATACACATTAAATGGTATTTAACTTTTTTTTTTTTTTTTTGAGACAGGGTCTCGCTCTGTCACCCAGGCTGGAATGCAGTGGTGCGATCTCAGCTCACTACAGCCTCAACTTCTTAGGCTCAAGCAATTCTCCCACCTCAGCACCCCTCTCCCCCAAGTAGCTGGGAGCACAGGGATGCACCATCACATCCAGATAACTTTTGTATGATTTTTTGCCAAGGCTGGTCTCAAACTCCTGGGCTCAAGCTATCTGCCGGCCTCAGCCTCCCAAAGTGCTGGGATTACAGGTGTGAGCCACTGCACCCAGCTGGTAGTTGACTTTTCATTCTAAAATATGTATTGTTTTTGAACCTAAGTACTACACACACTGTTCCTTCCTATTTTTTAAGGTTCTATATCTTTGGAATTGTCCCATGTATGTATGTATGTATGTATGTATAAAGCTGTTTTGATCTTTCTAATGGCTTAGTAGAATTCTGCAGAATGGATATGCCGTAAGTGATTCACCTGGTGGCCTCCAGTGGACATTTATGTCTATTCCAATCTTTTGCTATTACAATGGATATCCTTGTATATTTCATTTCACATGTGTGAAATTATGTCTGGATGTCAAAGTCCTAGAAGTGGAACTGCCGGGTCACTTTTGAGAGATACTGCCAAACTGCTCTCTCTAGAGGAGCTGGCACTTTATACTTCTACAGGAATCTATGAGGTAAAATTTTTGATCTATGCCAACCTGGTGTAGTACCTTGTCCTACTTTCAATTTGCATTTCTCTTTTGCAGAGTGAGGTTGAGTGTCTTCTCATTTGCTTCAGAGACATTTGCATTTCCTTTTTCTGAGAACTCTCTGTACCCTTTCCCCATTCTTCTTACAGGCTGCTGCCTTTTTCTTATAGATCTACACGAGTGAGGCAGTTAATACTGCACCAGCCTGAAGGGTGTTCTGCAGCCCCCTTGGAGGGCACAGGCAAGGGCACTGAGTTGCGGGAGCCTCCATAGGCAGGGCCAGGCCTGGGACTGCCTGCTTGGCTGGGAGCAGTTTACAATGGCCGGGCACCTTGATGTCTCCAGGTGCTCACACGCTGGGCTCTGTGCTCAAAGAACACAGTGGGCCCCGGGTTCTGCCCTCTGTAGCAGCTCAAATTTCACTGTTTCTGAATCTTTATTAAGCGAGGAAATAAAAACCAACTTCTTTACTACTGGCATCATAATCTCTGCAAGGGGTTCATAGTGAGCCACCACCTACAGGAAAGGCTGTATGCTACTTCTATTTTCACTCTTAAGACCCTTCGGCTAGAGAGCTAGAGATAAGAATTTGTTTTGATTCCTCCATTCTTTCTTTCCTTCCTTCCTTTATTCCTATCTCTACTCCCTGTTCTCTCTCTTCCAATCCCCTCTATTCCATCTATCATCCCATCCACCCACCCATTTAATACTACTTGGGGTGGGCAAGGCTTTTCTCATTGAGACTTCTCTCTTGGAAATGTCATGATAGAGTGGCTGATGTGTATCCAGCATCTATTCCAATTACTTCCTCCAGCTCTTGACAGCTAGGCTTTCCTTCAGTTCAGAGTCAGTCAGGATGGATGATGAATTAGCCTCAGCCACACCATTTCTGGGCCTCTCAAGGTCAGGACTCAGGACTCCTGTGGGCCCCCACCTCCAGCTCCATTAGCCCCTTTCCTGGGTTGCCCTTACTGACAACCAAGCCCTGGCCTAGAGGCCACCAGGGCTGCTTTACTTACTTGGATGCCCAGGTTTTCCATGATCCTCTCTGGGATGGTCTAGGCCCTATGACTATGCTTGTTTTGCATCTCAATTCTGAGCAATTCCTATTGCAGTGTAGCAGGAGAAGAGGACAACTGAACTTCCTTCCTATTTCCAGTTCTTGTCAATGTCCCTCCAGCCCTAGAAGGCAGCAGTGGGTCCAGCCTCCAGCTTCTACCGACACTCTCAACCTCAACAGCACTCACCTCCCTTGGGGTCTGAGAGCTGGCTGCGCAGTCCCCCTGCTCTGAGGTTCCATCGTAAGCCGCAGGGTACCCTTCAGAGGCCTAAGCACAGCTGCCAGGGGCCTCTTCTCTGAGATCTTAGATTCTAGTGATGCACTTCTTCCCTTGTGTTTCCCAACCCTAGGGGCAGTAACTGCTTTCTACAGTTACTCATATCTGGGATGCCTCAGTGTCCCTTTTTGCTCTTTCAGCTTTCTAATACTTGTGTAATTCCCCATATCAAATCCCTGCTGCTTAAATACCTAGTATAGTCTCTGTTTTCCAGACTGGATCTTGACAGATATGCCATCTAACTCCCAACTGTAGACCAGAGGCTGATCACTGCCCCTGTGGAGAGGCAATAATTCTGCTGAGTCTGGAGAGATGAGTAGGGGCATTTGCCATGCACAGAAGACAGACCCAGAACTTTGGGGGTTTCAGCCTTTATGGAGATTCAACTAGAGGAATTCTTACCAAGTGTTCTCTTTCTCCTGTGATCAGAGTCACAATTACTCCAGGCTCCATTCTGAGCTGGTTCCTCTCTCCCCCTAGGGATGAGATTGTGTGGCTCCTGGCAATTATCTACAGCTTTCCAATATATTTAAAAAGTGAAATTTCATATAGCTGATGAGTCTTCTCTTTCCCTTACTAAATTTATAATATGAGAATATGTTAAAAATTATATTTGCCCCTCATGGACAAACTAAGGAAGGAGTATGCCATGAAGCAAATAAATTCATAAATTATAGGCCTGCCTCAGGTCCATGTGCCTCTAGCTCACTCCCAAACATCACCCACAACACATTATAAGCAAAGAAGGGCTCCAAAGCTTGTCTTGTCTAAACTAATAGCTATGCAGGGATATCCAGCTGACCTAGAAAGAGATTAAATATACCTTCTATCCAAGAGCTTCCAAATGCTCTGATTAAGAGCTTGAGTTGGATCCGAATCCCCTTAAATGTATTTATAATTGGCTAAATTCCAAAGCTGCAAACAAAAGGCCCTTGTATTATGTTTGCTCTTTTAATGAAAAGAAAAAATAATCAGACTATGCTCCCGAGAATGCACCTATAGTTCAACCCTTTTTAAGGGTGACCTTTACAAATGAATTTTTGAAAATTCTATTTCAGCACACTCTCTAGGATTCAGAAACACAAAGAAGAAAGGAGTAAGATGTCCTATCCTCCACAGTTGGGGCCAGTTTTAGGAGCCAGAACTCCCAGCCACAGAAAAGAGCCCTGCTCTTGGACTCAGGAGTCCTGAGCTCCATCACTTGTTAGCTCTGTACACCAACTTCTCTGAGCCTCTTGTTTTCTCATCTTTAAAACCAGGATTATCAATCCCTACTCACAAAACCATTATGAGAATAGGAGCCATCTGATTCTCTATTTATTCAACAGGATTCAAGAATGGGAAATAATGAAAAACCCAAATCTCAAGCAGCAAACTTGAGCTGTTTCCGAGTCATGTTCAATATCCCAGTCCTCAGCATCATGCCATATAGGCAAGATGAACAGGTTTCTTTCCCTTTCTACTGGGGAGGCAGGGGAAAAACTCTGACAAGAATGTTCTTTGACATCTCACAACTATAAATCCAAAAAGCTTTCCTGAAGCCTAACACTTGTCACTGAACAAGCACATTTCTGATGCTAAATGATATGAGTAGCCTATGCAGGTATGGAGACACAAACCCTGAAGATACTCTCCTTGCATAAGTGCCTTGTGGTTTTATTGCTTTTAACTTCCAAAGAAGCTGCTGCCCTATAAACCTATGACCCCTTCAGCATTGTTGGCTCTGTCGGTAGCATGATTTCTGTCATGCTGACCTGGATCCCCAAACCCAACACTCCAACATTCTGCTTTCCCATTACCCGTAAGTGGGACATGAGAGTTGACAACACATAGGACAGGTCAAGGTCATTCTCGACTCTGATCTCCATGTGGCTCCTGCCAGAGATGACATAAAACCTTTAGGGAGACACAGTGTGAACAGTGTCATGGCTGCACGCAGCCCATCCTCACACTGGGAGCAATACTGCATTACTCTGCTATCTGAGGGTCATATAGGTCTGTGTTAGTCATGGTGATGTTAGGTCCCAACACTACCAATCACTGCTGTATTCTGTGTGACCAGCACTGTGCCAGGGTTACCTTGGTCTGACCCACTCAGGCCTCTCCAGCCTACTCTTTAGGAGCCAATGTGAAGCCACGGCTTATTTTGTGAAGCCATGCCAATTTCCCGTGGCAATTATGCCATGCTTAGAAAAATCATGAAAATGAGTCTCTATTCCTAGCTCACTTAGACAAAGAAAGTAAAAGGGGATCCTGGGTGTGCTGAGTGGTCAGAGGGGAGCCAGAATGAGATTCCAAACACCATCTGAAGACAGCCATGTATCTGAGAATAATTCCCCTCTATTACTTACCAGAGTTGAATATATAGCCAAATGTATGCTAAACATCCCCTCTACCCTCTTTAAGTATTTGCCGAGGCCAAGATTATACAGTTGGGCTGATTCCAAGGAAGCTATTTTCATATATACCAATTGGGTTATTTAACACAAAATTCAGCAGTACTAGATGTCTGACTCTGAATAAATTATAGAATCATTATTCTGGGAATGGTCTGTTTTTAAAAGGCTCAATCCTGGTGTCACTTGAACTGAACCACAAATTCCCTGAACATTTCTGTATGCAGGCATGTTAACTCAAATGCTCATAATACAACCAGCTTTTGCATTTTGCATAATGCACATTCAGACCTCCATGCAATTTTCAAATTAATCCTGCATTATGTAGTAACACACATGCATACATACAGCCACTCATTTCTCTATAGGACAAATAAATCTTCACCTGGGGGAAAACAGTAACTGCTGGAAAATGCATGTTCTGGAGAATGCGTGTTGTGCATAATCAATCAGCTTGTGGGGCTTTAACAGTAAGTGTATATAAATTTAGGGTCTTGGGATAATAACCAAATAGCACTGAATAAGCAGATTGGATACGGAGGAAAAAATTTAAGACCTCCACCAATGAGTAAAGAACTCAGACCTGTGCAACAGCAGAAGAGAAGAAACAAATACTGCAAAGACGGAAAGAACCTTGTCTCCATCACTGTCCTCACCAAGTACACTGCTGGGGAGAAAGGACCTCAACAATAAATGCATGGCTTCAAGTCTCCGTCAGCTGAACGTATGCTGACTATATGTTCATACTAGGCCTCTGAGGATCAGTGAGGCAGCACTCAATTTCCTTACTTTTATCTGTGGATGTTACACAGATTCTCCATGCAAAATTGGCTCAGACATTGAGACTGATTACATCATACTGCACCAGGAGGGTCTGAAAAGGTTATTACTCATATAATGTGGCTTTCTGGAGATAGCAGAGATCCAAGCCATTCCAAACCAGCTTAAACAAAGGGAAAGGCAAGTGGCTTTGGTTTTAACTGTGGTGAGGGTCAGACCAGTGGTTGGGTTTGTTTGGTTTGAACTTCCTGCCAGCACCCAGGAAAGGGCCAGGTCTGTTTTCTTACAGGCTTACCCAGAGGTGGGACACAAGAAAACAGAGGGGTGGGGCTTGAAAGCTGTCAGTAGTTAAGCACCAAAAACGGAGCCAGACTCTTTACTACAATTTTTCTACCTTCAGGCTGCCATTGCAGATTTAAAGCCCCACTCTGAAATGTACCTACTATGTGACTTGACCTAGCTAAAACTGTCTCCTCAGCAATAAAAGTTGTATAGCATTTTAAGTAAATGATTTTACACAGATTAAAGGAAACTGGCCCAGTGCCCAGGCATAACAGATGTTCAATAATTGTTTCTGAATCTGGAAATTTAAGAAGAGAAATCTGTTTCCTCCACATAGTTTCACATTTACCCTCGGCTTTTTGTTCTTGTGAAAACCAGAAAGATGCCCTCAGCTCTGGTAAGGTTCTAACTCCTTGCCAGAGATATCAGGATAAGGGGTGGGGGTAGAAAAGGAGTGGACAGGTTTACAGGGCTGGGGGCGGTGGGAAGCAGGGAGGATGGCGGCCAGGGTACCGCATAAGGCAACTCCCCCTAACGTGCCATATGACATTTCTGTCTGAGGCAGCTCTGCTGGTTACAGTGGAGAGATAGGCATCCTGGCTGGAGGAAAAATGTCCCCAGTGGAATGGGGAAAAGGACCAAATAATAGGTCTTATGGGTTGAATTGTGTCCCCCGAAAGGTATGTAGAAGTCATCACTCTTAGTACCTCAGAATGTAATGATTTGGAAGTGGGATCTTTGCAGATGTAATGAAGTTAAATGAGGTCACATTCAATGAAGATAGGCCCTAAAACTAATTAAGACTGGTGTCCTCATCAGAAGAAAAGACAGACAGGAGACAGATAGGAGTGATGTAGCTACAATCCAAGGAACATGAAAAGCGCAAGGGAGAGTCAAGGCAGGATTCTACCAAGTCTCGAAGAGAGAATGCGCTTCTGACGCTTGGATTATGGACTTCAAGCCTCCAGAACTGGGAGAGAATAAATTTCTGTTACCTAAACTCTCTAGTTTGTGGTCTTTGCCACAGCAGTTCAAGGAGGCTAATACAGTGGGAAGAAATCATCCATTACTTGCATCTCTTTTTTCTTTAAAGATTTGAGTGAATAATTTTACTCAAAATTGGAATAGCTGGGGATGCTAATGTTTTTTATTTTAAAATAATGAACAAATTACGGATCTTCATTTATTGCCAACTAGCCATTAATTTCTCAGAATTATTTTAAATATACAATGAGAAGATTTTTATATAAAATATCTAGAGTTTCAGTTCATAATCATTTTTATACTCCATAGTTAATACTGTAGTAAAATTGTAAACAGAAGATAAAGATGTATTTCTGCAAGATCTGTAAGCTAAGAGAAAATGTTAGCAGTGATTATTTCTGGGTTATGGGATTATAGGTTATTTTCTTCCATTTCTGTTATTTTCAAATTTTCCTTAGTGTGATAAAAAATATTGGCAAAAGAAACACAGTTTTTCTTTCCAAGAGATATTGTAATTTTCATAAAAGCAAGAAATAGGATTCAGTGTCTTCTTGTCTTACGGGCTTTTGTCTTGACTTTTAATCCTAGGGCTCAGGGATATGTTCACAGCCTCTTCATTAGGCCTAAAAGGATTAGAATAGAGCACACAGTGGTGAGAACATTCATTCATTCCTTTGGAGATTAGAAAACAGGAACTTATCCTGCCAGCGCAAGAGGTTCAGGCTAGGAGTTTGTAAATATTTTTTTCTGCTTTAGTATAATAATATGCATAGTCCCTTTTATTCTCAGGAGTTTTTAAAAATAGGCCTTAAAGTCCAGCTGCTTAGAAGTCTCTTGTAACAAAAACCAAACATATTTAAAAGTAAACAGAGACTTCTGGTTCCACTATGATCTCCCACTACTTACATGAAAAACTCCGTGCAAAGTATACAAAGCAACTACCAGAGTACTCAAAAAAGCAAACACAGTCAGCAGATTTTGGAGGACTCAAAACTTGCTGAAGCACGGGGGTGAGTTTCCCATTATCTTTTTCCTCTTTTATCTCTCAGCTGAGCTGGGAGGGCAGGTCCCAGTTGCAGAACTGCAGGGTGAAGCAGCAACAGGGAGGCTAAACTCCTGATGGAAATCTGATCTTTCTGGCCAAAGTGATCAAAAAAAGGGGGCCCTGTGGGCTAGAGAGCGTATAGGGAACCCTGAAAGAGAGTGAGCTGGGTAAGGGGTTTCCAGTGCATGAACCACTACAAGTCTCAGATGCAGGCCTCAGCTGCACAGGAGGGACCCAAACTGGTATCAGGAAGGCCTGGGCAACTGAACTAACATTTCAAGCATGATCGAGTCCCAGACTAAACCTTGAGTGGCACAAAGCAGACCCACAGCAACACAGCAAAAGCTTTGAGGACAGAACTGAGAAAGAAAGCATACACCTCGCAGTGCGAACCCAACCACGTTAATTGCTTCATAGCTTGATGGTGGCAGCAACTGCACAGGTATATCAACTTGTCAAAATGTGTTGAATACTATCCAGTACTTGCGATAAAGGGACTGCATTTTACTGTATAAAAATTATACCTTCCTGGCTAACATGGTGAAACCCCATCTCTACTAAAAAATACAAAAAATTAGCAAGGTGTGGTGGTAGGCGCCTGTAGTCCCAGCTACTCAGGAGGCTGAGGCAGGAGAATGGCGTGAACCCGGGGGGCAGAGCTTGCAGTGAGCTGAGATCGTGCCACCGAACTTCAGCCTGGGCGACAGAGAGAGACTCCGTCTCAAAAAAATATATATACCTAAATAAAGTGGATTTCATAAAAAGTACAGCAACAAATGGTGGTGTCTCCATAATAAGGAAGGTAGTATCTGGTAGGGAGGCAGCTAGGTGTGACGGCAAGCCTGTCCCGTCCGCTAGGCTGGGTGGCCTTGAACAAGTTGTGTAACCTCTTGGATTCTTTGTTTCCTCATCTATAAAGCAGAGATTATACTAACCACCTTTCTAGAAAATTTTGTGAGGACTAAATATATTAACTAAATATATTAACTTTAAATATATTAAAGGCCCAGGCAAGTGCAATTAGTAAATGTGAGAGAAACCCTACCTCCAAATGACCACTCCAGAGGACACGGCCATGCGCAGTAAGTGGAAGTTACAAGGAGAGCCCTTACCAGCGGCAAAGGCTGTCAGGCAGACCCACATCACCTACTGCAGGTTTCCCGGAGTGCCCCAGGTCTTATAACAAGTTGTTCTGTGCAAAAAGTGGTCCATGGTTAAATGTTTAGAAAAGACCGAATTAAAATTAAATAACTCTCCTTACTATATGGCAAAAGTGCCAATGTATACCATAAATTTCCAAAAGAAGACATGCTATGCAAAAGTTCCCAAACTAATTTTGCCAAGGATCCCCTTTTAGATTGATCACTCCACTCTCCCAAGACTACTATTACTTTTTTTTTTTTTTTTTTTTTTTTTTGAGATGGAGTCTTGCTTTGTCACTCAGACTGGAGTGCAGTGGCATGATCTCAGCTTCCCACAACCTCTGCCTCCCACGTTCAAGCAATTATCCTGCCTCAGACTCCTAAGTAGCTGAGATTATGGGCGCCCACCACCACGCCTAGCTAATTTTTATATTTTTAGTAGAGACGGGATTTCGCCATGTTGGCCAGGCTGGTCTCGAACTCCTGACCTCAGGTGATCCGCCTGCGTTGGCCTCCCAAAGTGCTGGGATTACAGGCATGAGTCAAAGCATCCAGCCCAAGGCTACTTCTTCTTAGATGACGCACTTCACTCTCCCAAAATGATTACTATTTCTTTGGATTATACTTTGAGAATACTTTGAGAAATGCTGAACTCTTGAAATGAGCATTGGTCTGAGAGTCAGGAGACTTGGCCTCTAGTCCTGGTTGTATACAAGTAATGTTACCTCTCTAGACCTCAGTGTCTTTTCCAAAATGGGAGGGTTAGGCCAGAGTCTCTCCTCCAACATCTTTTTGGATCTAACTATCTACAATTCTATGGCTTCTGCAAAGTATACTGGAATCAGTGTGCTGCTTTGGGAGAGAGGTGGGCCAGAGGACCTCCAAATTTCTAAATAATTCTTCAGAATATCCATCTTTTAAGCTACAGATCTTAAAACAGAAAAAAAAAGAAATTTCTCCATAAAAAAAGAAATTTCTCCATAAAATAAAAATTTCAAAAATATCACATCTTAATTCTTGGCATATGAATATATCATTTTCCACCACCTCTAAACACCACTGGCTCATCTGTGTAATGTTTCCAGATGCTTCTGCAATTAGCTCTTTTGTATTTAAATTCTGTCTATTAAATTGAATAAGATGTTCCTTTTTCTCTTCCAACAAAGTTGTCTGGTGGTTAAAAAAAAAAAAAATGAATCTACTGAAAGACAACGCAAATGCCACTCTCTGCAGCCAGGTCGTTCACACAAAATCTGCAAAAGATTCATTGACCAGTGCTAAATCATGATCTCCTCCATCTCTGCATCTCCAACTTCAACTGACATGATTACCATGATGCCTTACAAAAGAGGAAGGAATGATTCACCCTCTGGACGCATGGTATGTTCCAGAACATTTTGGAATACATAAGATACTTCCCCACCTATATAAATAATCATTTCATTTGTGATTAATCAAAGACTAACACTGACTATGAGTTTTATATTTGTTGCCTAAATAAATCAAGGGATGTACCAATATTGTAGAGATGTCAATTCTTAACAAATTTATATACACATTCAATGTAATTCCAATCTAAAGCCAACCAAGTTAAATTTTTTTGTAGAAACTGACAAGATGTTTCCGAAGTAAAAAATTTAAGTGTATCCAAGACAATTTTGAAGAATGAAGATTAAGGAATTACATTCACAGCAACAAGATTTAAGATAGTGCAGTATTGGCCCAGCAAGAGGCAAACAGACCATGGACATTTGATTTATGACAAAGGCTGTAGTACACATCTGTGGGGGATACAATGGTTTTTTCAATGAATGTTGCTGGGTCAATTAAATATCCAAACAGACCAAAAAAAATTGATCCCTATCGCACATTATACACAAAATTAATACTAAACATATTGTAGATGTAAATAGGGAAATTAAAAAAGTAAAGCTTCTACTAATAGAAGATAACATAGAGCAATATCTTCATGAGCTTGGGGTAAGCAAGTATTTCCTAATCAGAACATAGAAAGTACTAACAATGAAGGAACTCACTGATAAATAGGACTTGAAAAGTAAAAACCTTGTCCCTCAGAAAACATCATTAAAAGAGTAAAAAATGGAAGCCACAGAGTGGGAGAACATATTTACAACATATAAAACCAACAAAAAATTCTTACCCAGAATATATGCCTATAAATCGAGAAGAAAAAGCCAATCAACTCAATTATTTTTAAATGGCCAAAAGACTTCTAAAGACATTTCACAGAAAAGAGTATACAGATGGCTAATAAACATTGCAAAGATACTTAAACTTTAGTCATCAAGGAAATGCAAATTAAAATCATGATGAGATGCCAAACACACCTATCAGAATAGCTAAAATTAAAAAGACAGTTACAAGTTTTGGAAAGGATTTGAGGCCACTAGGTTCCTCATGCACTCTTGTGAGACAATAAATTGGTGCAACCCCACTGGAAAACTGGCCACTTCTACTGAAGCTGAACATACACATATTATAAGACCCAGCAATTTCCTGAGTATATACTCAACAGAAATATGTACAAGGTTTTTAACAGTCTCAATCTAAAAACAATCTACAAGTCCATCATCAGTTGAATAGATACATGAATTGTGGTATGTTCACACAACGAAATACTGTACAGCAATGAAAATGAATGAACTATTGCTATACATAACAATGATAAATCTTTCAAACATAATCTCAAAAGGAGCCAGACACAAAAGAGAAATACAGTCCCTTCTGCTTTAATGTGATGGATGTGTTCCTCAAAAGTAACGCAATATGCAAACGCATGCAACTAAAATCATAGGGCTTATGGGAAAGACAGGGTTAGGAACAAAACATTCAAAACTTTGGCAGTGACAAATTTAAAAAAATACAGAAATCTAATAAAAATGGAAGCACAGTTTTACACATGTAAAATTGTTAAGAACTGCATACATACTAGAATAAATAAGATTTTATGTTGAAAAAGACCTGAAGTTTGCTTGTGGAAGAGGGTGTAAGAAGGGTTGCAGCTTGCAAGTTATTGTGACATGGCAGAAGCAGCATTGCCTACGATTGGATGGAATGTGTAACACTAGATGTGGATGGGTGTGTCTCATAACACAATCAACCCAGGTGGCTGGTAGATATATGAGGTACGCGTATGTGCATGCTGTGTGTCCCTACTGGGCTCAGTTTCGCTGAGTGAAGTTTTCTGCATTCACTTAGAATTTCCTGAGGACAAAATTGCATATAAGCAAACACTAAATTGCGTTATGCTTGAATTGTTCTCTAATGCATCAATCATAATGGAAATTTGCATTTTCAAAACAAGCATTATAGCAGAACTGCTAGTACCTTATTATTCTATTTAAATAAAGTTCAAACATAGGCAAAATTTAATCTATATTGTTATTAGGTTGGTGCACAGTAATTGCTGTTTTTGCTATTAAAATTAATGGCAAAAACTGCAATTACTTGCGTACCAACCTAATAGATAACAGGGTATTGGTTACTCTAAAGGGGATTACAACTAAAAGGGATCACAAGGAGTAACTTCCAGGATGCTGGGTACTGACTAAACAGGTGTCTTCAATTTTAAAAACTGATCATTCGGCACATTTAACACTTGTGCATTTTACTATATGTGTGTTATATGTTCCTGGGAGTCTTCCTAAAAGAGATACTAATAGGAAGACAAGTGCTGAGATTTTCCTGCCCCACTATATGGACATTCAATTCTTCCCGAAAACACATACACTAATCACTGACACCATGTCACAAACATTTACACAGTTCTTTTCATACAGTATTCAGTAGCTCATAATTCGTACCCTAAAGAACAAGGTAAGGTTCCTTTCAGTTATTAAATCCAGCCAGATAACTCGTAAAACCCCAGCATTTTCTTAGTAGTGTGATGTAGTGAAAATAGCACTGAAGCAGCAGCTAGATGACATGGGCTCAAAAATCAGCTCTGCCATTTACTACCTAGGTGGGTTTGGCAGGTCATTTAACTTGAATTCTAGTTCAATCTATATCATAGGACTATAATGCAAATAAATGTGCTTTGCAAACCATAATCGTGTCCACCTAAGGCAAGATGCTATTGCAGTATTTTCTCCCTCAGGTCCAGCTGAAATTTAGTTTAAGCCTCCCATTTCCTTGTTTGTACTTCAAAATCCCAAATAACAAAGCTGGCTAACATTAGCCTAAAGGGGTGCGTGTGTGGGGGGCAGTGGGGGGCGGAGTGCGGGGGTTACACGCACGCATGTTTTGAATACAGTTCCATGTTAGGGCTTTGGCAAAGACATTTTGATGGTGAGGAATTTAGTGTTCTGATGGGTTTATACCTTCATCAGAAAAAAAAAACTGTGTCCACATAGCATCTTGAGTTGTGTGCAGATCTAGAGGCATTTTAAAGCCCAATACTCAGCTTATTGGAGTCAGAACTCAGTATTCTGTGGTCAGAGAAGAGTTTTCATTACAACTAACATCTAATTTCACCCCTTAGCCCCAAACAATTCTCTTCATAAGGCCACTCCCTCTTGTCTCCAAAAAGTTTTCTTATTAAGCCAAGAAAAATGAAGAAGGGCAAAAATCTAATATCAAACAGTATGTTTCTAACCCCAGACACTGATTATTTGGATAAGTTAGTTTGTAGTATCTACATCACTGGATATATGAGAGTTGCCTAGGGCTGCTGAGTTCTTGCCACCTTCGAAACTCTCAAAGCACTATAATCTACCCACTAACTCAGTCGGAGATACACAGAATAGTAATGGCTTCTTCTTAGCCATGGATTAACACTTCCAGGCTTGAAGAAATGAGCACTAGCCAGGCAGGGAAATTAGAAGTCTCCCATACTGTTAACTAATGCTGGCATTAACAGATCAATTATGGTAGAGTATCTCAGGGTAGTACAAGGAACATTCCAATCAAGAGTCACTAGGGGTGCTCCTTAAAACACTGGTTCCTGGATGCTACCCTAGACCCACTGAATCAGAATCTCTTAAAGGCAGGAGCTCAGGACTCTGCATTTTAAATAATCTTTCCAGGTGACTCTGATGGGCAATAAAGTTAGGAAACAACTGTACTGGAGGTTGGGCAAGGGAAGAACTGACATCATACTAACGATGACACAAAGGGGAACGGTCTCATTAAGAAAGTTGTTTTGAACCAGGTCAACCTTGAAATCACTCAACATTGTGTTAATAATGGGGAATGCAGCTACCAGGCATCAAACCTGCACTGCGCCACTGAAAGGAGGAAAGAGTGAGTGTCATGCACATTTAACACTGAGATGTCATAGCAAACAACAAACCCCAAATTTTCTGCACACCATTTTGAGGACTTCTCTCAGGTGAGATGCAACCTGGATGTTCCTGCCATTTCAGCAAGACGCTGGCTATGTATCAAACTCCCCACATCTATGCATCCATCTGTTTACTGGATGGATTGATAAAGAGCATTTCCTCTGGAGAGCTTGGAAAACTCATCTTATGCTAAGTGGCAAGTCACAAGGACACTGGAAATGCCAAACTAGCATGATGAAAAGCAGAGACTTACATGATGACTAGTACAGACTAAACTTTAGCAGATGAGCAGCAAATCAAGTTTTTTTTTGTATTTTGTTTTTTGTTTTGGATTGACAGAGTGAGGGAGGAAGGCAAAATGGCATGGGATGAGTTGGGAGGACAGAAGGAAAGGTAAATGGCCAAATGAATGGGTTGAAGGAAGGAAGAGTGGACAGGCTGTTGGGTGCATGGATGAATGGATAAAATGGATGGGAAGACAAATAGACAGATGGACGGAGCAGATAGGGCCATATCGGATCAATTATCTTTTAACCTTAAACTGTTTTTAACAGCTTATTGAGATAAGATTTGCATATCACATAAATCACCAATTTAAAGAACACAATTCAGTGGCTCATAGTATATTCACAGAGTTGTTGAACCATCACCACAATCATTTTTGTTTTTAATTTTTAAGTATTTTATTTTTGAGGGAGGGTCTCACTCTGTCACCCAGGCTGGGGTGCAGTGGTGTGATCATAGCTCACTGCAACCTTGGCCTCCCGGGCTCAAGCAATCCTCCCACCTCAGCCTCCAGAGAAGCTGGGACTACAGGCACATGCCACCACACCTGGCTATTTAAAAGAATTTTTTTTTTTTTTTTTTTTTTTTGTAAATACAGGGTCTCTCTATGTTGCTTAAGCTGGTCTCGAAATCCTGGACTCAAGGGAAGTGATCTTCCTGTCTCAACCTGCCAAAGTGCTAAGATTATGGGCATAGGCAACCATACCAAGCCCCATATTCAATTTTAGAATATTTCATTATCCCCTAAAAAGAAACCCATGCCCATTAGCTATTACCCTACAAATCCCTATCCCTCCCAGTTCCAGACAACTACTATTCTATTTGTGTCTCTATAGATTTGCCTATTCTGGACATTTTATAAATAGAATCAACAACATGTGGTCCTTTGTGACTGGCTTCTTTCATTTACCGTGTTTCCAAGGTTCATCCATGTTGTAGCATAAATCAGTACTTCATTTCTCTTTATTGCTGAATAATACTCCATTGTATGGATATGCCACATATCATTTGACAGATGTTTGGATTGTTTCTACTTTTTGGCTATTACACAGAATGCTGGTATGAAAATTCACATACAAGTGTTGTGTGAACATAAGTTTTCATCTTTCTTGGGCACATATACAGGAGTAGAATTGCTATGTCATATAGTAACTCTATGTTTAACTTTTTAAGAAACTACCAGACTGCAGCCCAAACTGTTTTCCATTTTACACTCCCATCAGCAGTAAAGGTTCCAATTTCTCCACATCCTCACCAACAGTTGTTATTTTCCATTTTTTGTTATTATAGCCATCTGAGTAGCTGTGAAGTAGTATCTTATTGCGGTTTTAATGTGCATTTTCCTGAAGTCTAACGATGCTGAATGTCTTTTCATGTGCTTATTAATCATTTGTAGATCTTCTCTGCATACATATCTATTCAGGTCCTTTGCCCCCCCCTTTTTTTTTTTTTGAGACGGAGTCTCACTCTGTTGCCAGACTGGAGTGCAGAGGCACAATCTTGGCTCACTGCAACCTCTGCCTCCTGGGTTCAAGCGATTCTCCTGCCTCAGCCTCCCGAGTAGCTGGGACTACAGGCGTGTGCCCCCATGCTCAGCTAATTTTTGTATTTTTAGGGGAGACGGGGTTTCAACATGTTGGCCAGGATGGTCTCGATCTCTTGACCTCATTATCCTCCTGCCTCGGCCTCCCAAAGTTCTGGGATTAGAGGTGTGAGCCACCATGCCCGGTTGCCCATTTTTAATTGGGTGATTTGTCTTTTTTATCATTGAGTTATATATTCTAGATACAAGTTTCTCATCATTATATGATTTGCAAAAATTTCTCATATTCTGGATGTATTTTCGTTTTCTTGATGTTGTCCTTTGAAGCACCAAAGTTTTTAGTTTTGATGACACCCAATTGATCTATTTTTTCTTCTGTTACTTGTATCTTTGGTGTCATATCTGAGAAATTATTATTTAATCCAAAGTCATGAAGATTTATCTTCTTTTAAGAGTTTTATAGTTTTGGCTCTTACATTTTGGTCTTTGATCCATTTTGAGTTAACTTTTGTATATGATGTGAGATATGGATCCAACTTCATTCTTTTGCATGTACATATCCACCAAATTATTTTGATAGAAGAAAAATGGGGCCATGTGGCAGAATAATGTTAATATAATACCAGTACCAATAACCAGCTACCATTAGTAGGGGGTCATCACATGCCAGGAACTGTGTAAGGTTATATTTATTATCGTATTTAATCTCTACAACCCCCTACGAGGTAGGTGTTTTTCTCAATTTACAGGTGGGAATTTGAGTAGTAGAGAGGTTAGGTCCCTTGTCCAAGTTCCCATACTAGTAAAGTGGCTCAATTGTGTCTGATTCCAGAGTCCTCCACTACCATCCTACACTGTCTCTGTAACAGCCCTCAGAAATCAGGGGATATCTCAGACACACCTAACTTCTCTTAGCAATTCAATATGAATTCACTAATAAGGCATTTACCTAACACTTCCTATTTATATTTGAAGCATATTGTCATACCTTAGATGTTTCAATTGGGATGTTTGACTCAGAGGAAAAGCAGGATTTCTGTAGAATCTAAGACTTCTGTTTCCGGCAATGGTAGGTATATTATTTGTACCAATACTACCACTGGGAGAAAATAGAATTCTAAAATTGTCAGATAAATATTTTAATTTTTTCCCCAAACAGCTAGCAACATTCCGGAAAGACAGTAAGGAATAACCAGGCCAAAATCTAAGAGAAAATGAGAACCAAAGGAGGCAAAGAAAGTTCTTAAAGTTGTTTTTTTCCTGAAGACATCTGTCTGTCTAGACTGTGCTGCAGCCTTTGGGATAAGATAGCAGAAGAAAAATCCCAGAGCCTGACAAAAGCAATAAGTCTAACAGGTGGACCTCAAAAACACATTAAGCTGGGGCCCAGAAAATAATCATAATCATCCTCAGGTTAAGGGTGAACCAGAAGTAAACCTAGTTCCCACCTCCAAAGGAGAAGGGGAGGGAAGTGAATCCCTCCCTAAGGAAATGTAACTATTGGGTCAGCCCTATTGGTCTGGCAGATACAAGCACAAATTTTGTCTGGAGGAAGATACCTTCACACTAGGCCTCAGGAATACCTCACATGTAATTAAGCAAGATAATGGGCAGCACATAGACAAAGATAACCAAGTATCCAAGGAAAGAGAAGTTAGGGGTAAAACCCAGCAGTACAAGAACACAGCAGACACAGATTCATACAGATTTAAAATATTTAAAGTATCAAACATAGATTACAAAGCAGCTATGCTTATTGATGTTTAAGGAAACAAAAGACGAACCTGAAATATCTGTAAAATATCTGCAGAGAACAAACACTTTCTATAAAAGGCACCCCCCTTCCAGAACGAACTTAGCCTTGGAAAAAGTATTCATTCAGGTAGTACGTGGAATAAGTGGCTCATCTCCGCAAAGCGTCCCCTCTTTGTTTTGACATTCTCCTTGGCACTTGCATATCCTTTCAAATTCTAGGGGCAAAGCCAAAGAAACAGAGGGGAAATCTGGAGTGACCATTCTTTCTCCAAACTTCAGAAATTAATCTATAATGAGCTACCAAATAAAAAGGATAAACCTCAAGTATTTTTGCCCATCTCAGAGGTACCAAAACCATTATTGTACAAATTATGAAGACTTAACAGATTCCCTAAAATTCTCCCTGGGAGAACTCTGAAGATTTCTTCTTCCATCTTTTCTGTCCTTTGATGCGCGACAGCCATAGCTGACAGCCTCATCATCTTTCCCACCGCCTCCCCCTGATCACCCTGCGCCTAGTACTGCTCCCCTTCACATGACCTCTAGATAGATCTTTCAAAGATGAAAATCATGTCACTCTCTTGCAAAAATCCTTGTAGTTCCTGCCTCTCTCAGCCTACTAAGGATGAAGTGCACACACCTCAGCATGGCATGTATGGGCTTCTCTGATCCTCAGGTTACCTTCCTGGTGTTTGTTGGTGCAAACAGCTTACTCATCAATATCACACCTTGCATTCTCTCTGGCTATGATCCCAGGATGCTTGCAGTTCTTGAATATATGATTTATACCTCCATATCTTTGTACAGGCTGTGCCCCATCCCCCGAGTCTGGACTTACTCATCCATTAAGCCCACCTCTGATGTCACCTCCTCTATGGTGACTTTCTCACCCAGAAGACAAAATTAAGACAGATATTAAGGCAAGTGATAGCTAGAAGTTTGGCTTTGTTTTAAAATCAGCTTATTGGTGCATCCCTGAGCCATTCACCTTTTTGTCCTCAATGCATATATCAAAGCACTATGTCCCCAAAACCCTCTCCTTCTAGCAGTATTCTCTGTAAAAATAACTTAGCCTTGCACCCAGACCCAGCTGACCACTGTCCCTCTTTCTCCTGCCTCAGATAAGCTGAGATGCTTCCCACATTGCTTATTTCCTTGCCATGTACTTTTGCTTTTCTTAGTAAAGCCCTGGCTGATAGAAATTTTGTATTGCAATCCAAAAGTCATGAGCCAACCCTCCAGCAATCTTAAAGCGCGGTCATAAAGTGAGAAAAGTAATCAAGAGGTTAGCTTCAAATATGACTAAAGTAAGTTATGGATAACTGTGAACACAAACAGAAAAACAACAAGATCAGGAACAATTTTGTTAAGTTAAAACTTAGCTGGTTTCTTCTAGCTTATTAAAAAGAAACCCAATGACTGTCTGAGAAAAAGCGCAGCTCCACAGACAGACCTGTGTGACCAGAAAATGTCCAGGCATGGTTTGGCTGCTGTGCCATTATGTTGTCTGGTATTTTTCAGATTTTCTATGATTGACAACCCTCAGAACACAAATGGCTCCCTGCTGTGCATGATTCAACAGATGTGTTTCAAAGGCCTTCTCACTGAGGCGACCCAGCTTGGAACCAAGACAAATGAGAGTGGTCCCATCTACCCAACATGTAAACAATGGGGAAAAACGGAAATCAGGTTTACCCAGCAAAAATCCACATTCCCTTGTCATCAACAGGGTGGCTTGGCCTCCCCCAAGCAGGCCAGAAACATCTTCCTAGTGCTCTCTGGGCGGAATGTTCTATCCCGTGGCTTAGCGCTCAGTTGTCTGTCTTCTTACCCCACTAAAAGCCACAGGTTACAAGTAAACTCTCTTAGACATTGCCCCTGGCCCCAGGAGATTTCTAACAGCAAAGAAATACAATAACTTTTTTAAAACAAAGGTTAAATTTCCCTTTTCATTTTACTGATATCAGGTGAAGTCTTCCCAATTTTTTGTTTCCCAAGGTCATGTAAAAATGTAACCAAAAAATATTTTTTTTTAAGTCCTGAGATGTGCTGTCTGGAGACCTAAGTAGGGCTAAAATTAGCAGCTGCCTCCTTCTCTGGGCAAGAGTGGTCAGCAGCTGGCACGCTACAATAGCCAGAGGAGAACAAAAGGGCGCAGAGAGGCTCTGTGGGCACATGCGCCAGCAAGCGCCCAGGGGACAAAGGCTTCGGCCCTGGGTTGGTGGGATGCAGGGTGGCTCTCAAGTGGAGTATCAGCTCTGCCTGCCCTGCCCGGAAGCCTCAATCTGCCAGCCTGACACAGGGTGACATACACTGCCAGGCTAGTTATTCCTATCTGCTGCTTCCTGTGTAATCAATGTCAGGGGTTAGAGAAGGGCAGAAGAGGAGAAGATAAATATGAAGTCAGGCGGGGGCTGGAAGTTTGGCTTTGTTTTAAAAGTGGCTTATTGGTGCATCCGGGACACTCACTGTGGGGCCCTGTTTCTGCTCACCTGCCTTCACCTACCACATCCCTGCTCTTGCCTGACCTGGATCACCTGTGAAAGACAATGGCTCTCCAGGAACCAGAAGGCTGGCTTTCCTTGCTTCTCACCTCCCAGGGCCCTCACTGTGCCTCTGGATAACCATGTGACATTGCTGCGACCGGGCATTTGACTACTCCCATCCTCACTTCACACTGTTGGAATGTCTGTCCTAGGGCCCATGCCCAGACAGCAAAGTCTAACCATCATGTGGACCTGAACATTTGAAGTGGGCGTTTCTGGCCCTCCAGCTGCTGGACTCATGAACTGTTTCTTACAGTGAGGAAGAGTCACTGGCAGCCCATCTCAGTACCTCTCCCTACCCCAACTTCATACTCCACACAACAGAATCCTCCCTATATTCATTCCCTAGGGCAGCCAGAACCAAATACTACCAACCAGGTGGCTTAGAACCACAGAAATTTAGTGTCTGTTTGTTACGGAGGCTAGAAATCTGAAATCAAGGAGCCAGCAGGGACAGGCTCCCCTCAACATCTGGTGGGGAGGAGCCTTCCTTGTTCTTCCCAGCTTTTGGTGGCTCCAGGTGTTCCTTTGTGGCAGCATCACTCCAATCCCTGCCTCCATCTCCCCATGGCCGCCTGGGTCCCTGTGGTTTTACATTATCTTCCTCTGTGCATGTCTATCTCAGTATTCAAAGTTCCCCTTTTTATAAGGACACCAGAGTCTACCCTAATAATCTCATTTTTAACTTATTGATATAGGAAGTAAGAAGAAGTTATTTAGGCAGATAGTGAGGAAGTCCTCGGTAAGGTTTTCCTTTTAATGAAAAGCAGCCCCCAAACCATTTTCTAACAAAGAGCAGCTTGTAAAATCGAACGCAGACATAGACAAGCAAGCTGGAAGCTGGCATGGCAGTTTGAATGCCGGCAGTTGTGCCAATAGGAAAGAGGCTATGGGGGGAGTAGGCATGTCCAAAATGGCGGCTCCATCTTCCCTTTTCTTTGCCAACCATGTGTACAGTAATGAGCAGGTGACATGGCACCAGCCAGGCTAGCTTCCTCATGCCATGTAAACATCACACCTGGTCCAACCAATCTTTGGGCCCTATGTAAATCAGACATCACCTCCTCAAGACAAAGAGCTGTTCCCTTTTCTCTTTCTTTTGCCTATTAAACCTCCACTCCTAAACCCACTTCTTGTGTGTCCGCATACTCGATTTCCTTGCTGTGAGATGACAAACCTCGGGTATTTACCCTAGACAATGATGCTGCTTCATTATCACTTCTATAAAGACCCTATTTCCAAATAAGGTCACATTTTGAAGTACTGGTGGTTAGGACTTCATCAGCTGGGCACAATTCAACCGTAACACACTCTTTTCCATGCTTTGCCCTTTCAGTAGCTTCCCCTTAGAGAGAATACTCCACAGCAGCAGCTAATGTGATCAGGGCAGCCACCGGCAGCTGGGAGAGTTAGGTTAGTACAGAGAAAAATGGCCCAACTAGGCCCAATTGACAGGTGTCAGCTGGAAGCTCTGACCCTTCAACAATCTTACATGATACCAAACAGGTGCTGACAAAACAGGATTTGCTTTTTTCCGTCTTTGTTTCAAGATAATGAAAAGTTTTTTTGTATAGTCTTCACTCCCATTTGTTGAATATTAACTGAAAGATTTGAGTGCCTTAATTACACTCAAGATAAATGACCATCATGCCAGATAGAATTCCTGAGGCAAGGAAAAGGTCCCCTGGATTCCACTTTCTGATCTTCACTGCAAAGACAAGAACCACAGCCAGCCATGCTGTTGTCCTTTGTTGCATTTCCAGCGCCGCCCTTACATGTGACAGTCACAGGCCCTCAGCTCTTATGACAGCCACCCTGAGATAATTCTGTTTCCCTGGTCTTTGAAATTGTGTGCCAAAACAAAATGATTTCCTCTTTCCACTGCTTTCTTGGTCTGGAAAAGAGTAATTACACTGGAAACAGGGCGTGGGAGCAATCTAATGCAATGTCAGAGTAAATCTAAAGAGGGAAGCCAGAGTCCTTGACCAACTGAGCAGGCTTGGGATAAAGAGTTGTAGGTGTGTAGACTGGTCAGTGCCAATCCAGCTAGCAAGCCTCAAGCTGGTCTATCAGTCCCAGAGGCTGGAAGGTCTGACTCTTGTCACCCTCCCAACTTGCTCAGTGGAGAAGTACTAAGAATCAGAACAATTAACCAGGCACTTTAGACTGTCTCTGATAGTGACACCCAGGGATGGTTCATGGTGTAAACAGTGGTTGCCTGTCATGATTTAGGCCTCACAGAGCAGAGAGAGAAGAGTAGAATTTGGAGTCAAAGGGCTTATAATCTCACCTGATATTGCTGCTTAGTAGCTGGACAATTCGGAGGTGTTTTCTATACAAATATTCCAGGAAAAATAGTTGGGAACAAAGGTAGCCAGTACCTCTGTTTGTAAGAAATGCAGAAACACAGGAAAGCCCTGGAATGCTGTCTCCCAACATGGATTGAGTAAAAAAAATAAAAATAAACCTCCTGTAACAGAAAAATACAAAGATATGTTGGCTTCAGGCATTCCTCGATCTAGGGGCTCAAAATTATATGGCTTCAGTTTCCATCCTGCAGCTCTGCCTTCCTCTGAGCTGGCCCCCCGCCTCCACGGCTGTCCACTAGGAAGACGAGAGGGCTCAGCAGCTCCAGCTCTGCATCCTGACAACTCCACACTCCAAAGGAGAGATTGCTTCTGCTTCCCAATAGTTCCAGCAAAAGCTCTGGAATTGTATCACACAGGGAGATGGACCCTACTGCCTGGCGAGTCCTGGGTCGCATGTTGCTTGCAGATCTTAGATACGGGGTGTGCCCCACCTGAATCACACAGACTGAGAGCGGGTGGGAGAGATCTGTTCCCAAAGGAAAAGCAGGGGGCTGTTACCAAAGAATTGGAAACAAACACTGAGCAGGCAAAACTGCAGCAGTCCTCAACACCACCCTTGAAATTCCCTGAAGATAACAAATCTCACTTGTGTCCTTCTGTGAAATTTAATTATTATTTCTTTTGACAGGGAGATTCACATTTTAAGGAGGCTAGTGGCACATCCAAATTGCTATTATAACCAAATCTCTTTAGAAAGAAGCTATGGTAGTGGTGTCACCAAGGGGTGTTCTGCACCATAGCAATTGCCCATGTCAGCATGCTGCGGTAGGCTGAGTAACGGCTCCTCTAGAGATGCCCACCCTCTAAGCCCCCAGACCTGTCAAAGTCACCTCACACAGCAATAGGGACCTTGCTAAGGTGATCAAAATGAGAGATTTTGAGATGGGAGATTACTCTGGACTATCCGGGCAGGCCCAGTGGAATCACAAAGGTCATTATAAGAGAGACAGAGGAGGAGGCCAGGTGCGGTGGCTCACGCCTGTAATCCTAGCACTTTGGGAGGCTGAGTTGGGCAGATCATGAGGTCAGGAGTTCAAGACCAGCCTGACGAACATGGTGAAACCCCGTCTCTACTAAATATACAAAAATTAGCCGGGTGTGGTGGTGCACACCTGTAATCCCAGCTACTCGGGAGGCTGAAGCAGGAGAATACCTTGAACCCCGGAGGCGGAGGTTGCAGTGAGCTGAGATCATGCCACTGCACTCCAACCTGGGTGACAGAGACTCCGTCTCAAAAAAAAAAAACAAAAAACAAAAAACAAAAAAAAAACAGAAACAGGAGGAGACAGCAAGACAAGAGGCAGATATGTGTGACAGAAGCAGAGAGATGAAGAAACATGGTTTGAAGATGCTACACTGCTGGCTTTGAAAACAGAGGAAGGAAGGAAGGCATGAGCCAAAAGAAACCCGTCTCTGTAAACTGGAAAAGGTAAGGAAACAGCTTCTCCCCTATAGCCTCCAGAAGGAACCAGCCTTGCCAACACCTTGACTTTAGCCCAGTGAGACTGATTTCAAACTTCTGGTCCTCGGAACTGTAAGAAAAATAAACTTGTGTTGTTTTAAGCCAACAAGTTTGTAATAACTTGTTACAGTAGCCATAGGGAACCAATGTGGCAACACAGCAAGTGGTCAGCGTTCAGTGCCCTGGAAACTCTGATTAGCAGGAAAAAGTTTCCATAACCTAGCACAAAAGCTTTAAGTGTTCTCTGGTTGAAAGCCCTTCCTGGGTGTTTTAGAATTTGTTTCAGCTTTAACACAACCCCAGGTGCACTTCTGAATAAGGACTTTCACTCACTATTCCTCACATTCTATGCCTGGTTGACTTGGCTGGAATTACTTGTAGGAAAACTAATGCCCAAGGCCTCTGGCTGGCCATGTGGCATACAGTAAAGAAACCAAGGCTTCTGCAAGTCTTGACATTCAGATTCCAAGAATGGTCATAAATGGACCAATGATGTAAACACGGATAGACTGTCTAACCTACATCTACATGTCAACCTCATCACCCTTAGGTATGATGCACAGGAAGCACCTGCTTCTCAAACTCTTCTAGAACTCTCAGAGGATCCAGTGAGGTAGAGACACAATCAATGATAGCAGTGAAAACTCCACTTAGAGGGAAGGGCTAGGAAAGACCGCGAAACAAAGTCATCAGAAAGGATGGCCTCTGAGACACCGACACCTGCCCTCCGTCCTCTTTCATCAGAAATGAAATTTTTAATCCCAAGAATTTAAGAAGATATGATGGGAATGAGTTTCTATTTAATAACAACCCTCCAGAATCTCTAGTGCAATACTCCAGTTCAGCTTTAAATAAAATGCCTGTCCAGAACCATTTGAGTTAGGAGACAAATAAACTGCTCAGACAAGCTAGTAATCAGGGAGAAAATATACTTTCTCTTCTCTCAGCTAGAAATAGCAAGAAAATATGGGGACCTGCATAAGAAAATTACCAGCTCCTCTCTCATTGCAATCTAGAGGGAAAAAGAACCAAATTCTCCTTGCCTTGGCATGGGGTCACTCCAGGAGCTAAGTGTTAAGGCAGAGCTTGCCAAAATAGATAGGATAATAGAAGGAAAAACAAACATCCATGTGTGTACGTGTGCATGTGTGTACAGGTGTGTGTGTGTAATGAGGCATCAGACAAGGCAATGTTTGGTGGATGCCACATCTCTACCAAGCTCTTGTCACTGCAACATTATCACTGGATCACCCCAGTGATCCAGGCCCCACCACTTGGGAAATGTTTTGGTTTTCCTTTTTTTTCTTTTTTTTAAACAAAGTCCATGGCTTCCCTGGACAAAAGCAGGCAGACTTTTCAGAAGAAGCACCATTCTGCACCCATACACACATTATAAGGCTCTCCACCCTCTCAAGGCCAGATATATTCCCAGTGTATAAACACCCCCCCTTGAATACTTTTTCTCCTCATTACCCCAGGACGGTGGAGAGATCACTGCCAAGATGCTTAGGTCACAGCTGGTTTATGGGGACTGGCCTTGCTGGTCTGGAGTTACAACTCCTTGATACCTTTGAATTACAGAGCTCTATTCAGCTGCTTGTTGAAGATATTATGCTTCAATGTCAAAGATTTATGGTAGGCATGAGAAAGCTCCTTCTATTAACAAGTGCTTCTGAGAGCCAAAGGGCTTGTAAAAAGCAACCTGCATTGGTCTCTGCAAAGCATGACACAGCAGAATTCCTCCTAGAACAGCATTTGGACCAAATCTCCAGCCATATCCTTCTCAGATCCATGGACCAGCTAAGTCTTTTAAATAAAGTTTGTGAGCCCTAGATATGCATATTCCTCAAGCAGCTTGAAGTAAACTTCAATATTAAAAATTTGGAGTTTTTTTTAAAGCAAAAACATAGATTCCTTATTTTCTGCTGAATAAACTGAACACTACTTCTTCAACCTCAGCAGCAGAGGTAACACTTCCTGACCAAAACTGTTTTGTGGATGACATATTACCAGAGCCCTAGGTTTGCCACTGAGCATTTCTATCCCTTGCCTTCAGACTCTGTCTTCCACTCTTTAGACAGCAGGGCAGGGGCACAACAGAAAGGGAAGGGTCTGGTTTTACAGCCTCATATCACCCATATGACCCACAGAGACCAGGACAGACATTTTCATGGAAATCACTAAAATAAACTTTGTAGTTTAGAGCAAGCAAATCTATGGCTAAATTCAAGTGAACTGGTGACAGGAAGATACCAATTTTAAGACAACTTTTCCAGGCGAATCATGAGATACTTCTAGGCACATCAGTGATGCCAGGAGAGGGCTCCCTGGGAAACAATGAGGTGTATCTTTTAAGACACATGTGTATCCACACCCCATTAGCTGTGAGGTGTGTGCAAATCTCCTCAATAATCCCTATCTCCTAGATACCCGTCTGCCCCTTCCTGCTCTTCCAGGACTCTGAGGTGAGACCTGTTAGAGGGATGTGGTGTCAGTGGTTCCTCCCTCTTGCTGCAGCAGGTCCCAACCCATCAAGGTGCAGAGGGAAGGGCCACCTTTCCCTTAAACCTGGAAATCTAGACACTGAGCTTAAATGCTCTCCATGCCTAAAGTCAGCGTTCTCACTCGCTTCACTCTATTTCCTCAGTGTGTAAAGATGGGCTCTGGAGCAACAGGAACTGATCATGTGTCCCAGGGAAGATGCCAAGACTACAAGGCTGTCAAAGGTGCACATTTGTCAACAACTCCATATACAGTTTGACAATCCCTTAACTAAACTTTTTGGGGTCAGATGAGTTTCGGAATTCAGATTTTTTTAACTTTAGAAAGCTCATATATGAACACCCCCAGCAGAGACTGAGGGAGCATCGTATAGACTCATTATTTTTTTTCACCAAAACATGAATATTCATATTAATCTTCTATCAAGTCAAATTAGTTATGAAATGAAATCCAGAGTTCTCCAGGATGGGAGATTGGGCACCATCTGGTTCACTTTCCTCCAAGAGATATCTAAACCCAATCCTTCAGGGACAAAAACCCACAGCAAGGAATAGACGAAGCGGCAACTGCCAAAACCCCAGCAGACATTCCCTGACTCAGGAGGCCCATGGGACAGACCAGCAGAGATGCAAACAGGCTCATTTGGATAATCACTGACATAGAAAAAGCCTTCTAAGCTGAGTTTCTCTGGCCTCAGAACCCAGAAGAGAGATGATTCCACAGAGCCCTCCACTTTTATAGAATCAGAGTTCCCAGGGCTGTGGCACCTGAGTCCAAGGAGGACACAAATAGTGCGTTCAGTCACAGACCATAGCTGGTCCCATGAGGCAGCAGCAGACCGGGTTTTCAGAGCCCAATCCCATGTGACTGAGGTTAACTCCATAGGATGTCAGGCAAGTCACACTTTGATCTTCCTGCCTTTCTCTCTGCCCCCTTCAATACCAGCATTCCCTGGGGTTTCTCCCACCTGTTCTCTTCTCATTCTACACAGCTCCGTGGTTAATTGTGTCTACTCCCCTGGCCTCACATACAATCTTTACGCCCTTGACCCCCACACATCTCAATCACTGGTCCCACCATCTTCTCCAACTCATATTTCCAACTGCCTCTTGGGCATTTCTGACCAGGCCCATGTGCCTCTCCTGCTGTGCCATAGACAGCTGGTGCACACTGATATCTGCATGCTTCCCTACACACCCCTGCCCTGTACTTGGGTTGGTCATATGACTGGCTCTGGCCAATGACATGTAAGCAGAAATGTCACATGTTTGAGCACCTGGTGCACCAGTCTCATGTTCTCTTCCCCTCCATGATGCCAGCACAAGACAGTGGAGAATCAAAACAAAGATTCTAGGTCCTGGAGTCACTGCTTAGAAAAAGCCACTGGATTTGTATTGAACTGTCAGAGAAACAAACTTCTATGGTGAGAAATTACTAAGATTTTGGAGTTTCACACAAAGCAGCCAGTGTTAATTTCCCTGATATGCCTGCCTTTTCTACCTAGCAAACTCCTAAATTATTACTTCAATTCAAATGCCACCTCTTCTGAAAAGCCCATCTTCTGTGGAAAGTCAGCTACTCTATCCTGTGACCTCCAGTAACTCACTCATACATCCAGCAGAGCAATTCCCTGAATCTACTGCACATTTTTGTGTGTTTGGCACTCACATTCGTGTGAGCTTCCTTTTTCATCTCTGTGTTCTCAGTGCCTCGCAAGTAGCAAACATCCAATGCATTTGATTTAGGGAAGCGAAAATCAGAGCCTCCTCATTATGTGACAAGCAAACCAAGTCCGCACTTTCCCCCCACCAAGTCACAATGTTCTTATCATTGTGCTAGGTTCTGTGAGAGGAGCCAAGAAAAGTAAAGGATGCTGTAACCCACCTTTATCTTTAGATCCATAATGCCCTATTATCTCTCATCTTTATTAAAGGACAGCTTTCGCTTAGAAAGTACGTGGTCTTTTCAGGAACTATCAGCTAAAACATCGCACAGAAAACAAGATCAAAGAGGGGTCTTTTAGTGACAAGATTAAAGTAGAACAGGACTCTCTCTTGGCCCTTTGAGCCTGGCTCACCCAAGGCTGCCACAGTTTAGGCCCATGGTCTGCCATTCTGGAATACTGCAGCTGTGTTGCTGTTATTTCTGGTGTGAAAAGAGCTGCAGCAAAAGCACCGCTGCCTCCTCAGGGACCCAGATGTGGAGATAATGGGCCAGCTGTGCAGAGTTATGTCATCACCACTTGGCAAAGCTTCCCAAAGCAAAAGCACAAGACTGTGTCACTGGGCAGGGAACAGAGCAGGGATCTTCTCTTTTAAGATGTAGCAAGTTGGCTATAGTAGTATGTACCATGAGTAGTTCCAAATCTCCCAATTCTCTTATAGATATGATGTAACTCAGTCCCAGCCCAAGGGAAATGGTGACCATAAATAAACAACGATCAATTATTAATAGAATGTTTTGACAACTCCCACATAGTAGCAGTTTACCTGCTGCAAGTATGGTTTTGCTTTGGATATTCAGATTATCTATTTAATGCACATTAAACATAAGGTTGGCCCCTAGTATTCACACAAAAATACCCACAACCAAGAGCTGTGGCAAACACAGATGCCATGCCCACAGCTTCAGGAGAGCACAAGGAAGCTTCTAGGGCAAATTCCTAGTAGGACGTTCAGAGCAATAAACAAAACAAGGTTAGATTTTGCAGTATATTGCAGGCTAGGACCCACAGACAGTAGGTGTCTTTGTTGTCTGTTGATTATAACAGAATATCTAAAACTGTATAATTTATAAAGAAATGGAATTTATTTCTTACAGTTACGGAAGCTGAGAAGTCCAAGGTCAAGGGGCTGCATCTGGTGAAGACCTTCTTGCTGGTGGGAACTCTCTGTAGAGTCCCCAGGTAGCACAGGGCATCACGTGATGAGGAGGCTGAGCATCCTATCTCAGGTCTTTCTTCCTCTTCTTGTAAAGTCACCAGTCCCACTTCCATAATAACCCATTAATCCATGAATGGGTTAATCCATTCATGCGGGCAGACCCCTCATGATCCAATCACCTCTTAAAGGCCTCATCTCTTAATAATGCCAATTGGGGATTAAGTTTCAACATGAGTTTTGAAGGGAATATTCAACCACAGCAGTAGGAAAGATTAAGAAATATCAAATAATTGGAAACATAGTGTAATGGAAGGGAATATACACTTTGGGAGAGTTGGAATAATACCTTTTGGTGTTAAACAAGTATCACATACAGGAGATATGGGGTACCTCAAAAACAGGGGACACTTAAAGTCATAGTCAAACTTAGGAAATTATTCCTGGCTGGTACTTTAGAGGTCACATGCCATGAACATAACAATGAATGACTTCCCCCAAATCCCATCCATCCCATGTATGATCCCATCCGCATACATGGAAAACAAGAAACTGACTGAAAACAGCACTGTCAAGCAACTTACCTTGTATGAAGATCCTATTCCAGTAGGTTTTCCCAACCTCATTGCCCCCAAGAAATACCAGGTTGGACAGGATCAGCATCGAGGTGGAACAAGAAGCAAGGGCAGCGTGGAATCGACGGCGAGCTTGTGGGGAGAAGTATCGGGCCTACGGGAAAAATGGCAAGAAAGCATCTCATGACAAGGGTGGAAAAAATGGGGCTAAGATACCATCCAGCTTTCTCTGTCACCAGCCCAGGACGCCTCCCCACAGAGCCCAAACCAGGTCATTATTTAAACAGCTCTCAAAACTTCAATTCCTGTCTGGGCGTGGCAGCTCATGCCTATAATCTCACACTTTGGGAGGCCAAGGTGGGAGGATCACTTGGGCCCAGGAGTTCAAGACCAGCCTAGGCAACATAGTGATATACCATCTCTACAAAAACAATTTAAAAATTAGCTGGGCATGGTGGCATATGACTGTAGTCCCAGCTACTCGGGAGGCTAAGGTGGGAGGATTGCTTCAGCCCGGGAGTTCGAGGCTGCAGTGAGCCATGATCACACCACAGGACTCCAAGTCTGGGTGACAGAACAAGAGCGTGTCTCGAAACAAAACAAAAGTGTACTCTTGCACCATGTTCATTCTACCCTAAGGAAAGAAGTGACATACCCCAAGTTGTTTCTTTGAGGTGGAACAAAATGCGAGGGCTTCCCTCTGACATGTGGAATACAAGCACTGAAGCCAGTTAGGATTTAGCAGCCCTCCCACCTCCACTTGCTTTCTGCATGTAAACCTACAGGTGCAAGAACTTCAAACTGCTGTCTGTGATAACTAGTATATATAGCTCCATGGAATTAGGTCAAGATCAGCATGATCCCCTGGGCCAGTTACACTGACCCTGGGAAGCCATCCAACCACCCCCTAAACCTGACATGCTATTAAGAGCAATCTCATAATAAGAGTGTAGGACAATGAGTGTGAGCCGAGCCTACTGCTGGAGTCAGAGCTCAGGCCCACACTTCACCCGCAGCACACGTCGGCACTGAGGATGAAGTGTATCGGCGTGCCTGAAATACTCAAGGCTGGAGGGGTGTTTTACAGCATCACAATAAAGAATTCCACTTGTCCTTCCTAGCTCTTTATTGCACTTCTCCTTTTAAGATTTTCCCAGGGATTTCATAAAGCAAACAAAGCCTTTATCCTGACTGTTCTGGGAGCCCCTCTGAGTGAGGTCGCTGTGCTGGAGTGTGCGAGCCCTATCAGCACATGCACGGGGACCACCCCAAGGGACCGTGTGTTCAGAATGAGAACCAGGTACAGCACAGCAGCGGGACATGCAGGGGCCCAGGGTATCTGATAAGCACCTCCGCCTAATCCACAGACACAGAGAAAGAGGGAGCAAAGGGTCTGGAGATATTTCCTGAATATCCTCCAGAAACCCACACATCTCTAGGGTCACGTGCACCCTAATTTCAGCTGCGTTCCAATTACAAACAGAACTCGGAATGACTCAATGACAGCAGCCGATGCAATTCATGACAGGCAAAAAGGACTAAATTGGAGGGCGAGTCTTCAGCAAGAGGCTTACTTATTATGCGGCCCTACTGTGAATCTCCTGTGACTGCTTTGGCATCATGGTCAGTGTCCTCTCCATCTAGAGAAATGAATTTCTGACTCCTCCTGTTCTCTCCTGCCAGCCCCAGGGTCTGTTCTTAACTCTCAGATCTGGCTGCTACCCTCTGTCACCCCATCTCCCCACCCACGGCTCTCTGCTCCAACATCACTGTGGAACGTGCTTTTACTGCTGCCAGACGCAAGTGTGGCCTGCTCACAGAGAAGCTGTGCAGTGGACAGTGAGATGTCTGCCCGATCATGGTTGTTCTGGAATGCTCTCCAGTGATGTAGGGTGTCTCTACTTAGAGGCCACCAGGCAAGATTACCTCTAGTCTTGCCCCTGCTCTAGGAGGCCACAGGCACGTACAAGAGGACACTGTCAGACAAGACCTGGTACGAGATAACTACATGGTGTGAAAACTGTTAATGAGAGAGAAATGGGGAAGGAGCAGGCTTATTATTCAGCACTCTTCACCTCTGAGAATAATGGGACATTAATCTACCACTTTCTGCATTCTAAAGCAGAGGAAGATATTTTCTGGGTATTACTGACTCAACTAGCAGTAACTAGGGAGGCAGGGTGAGAGGAAGTTGGGAGACAGAGGAAGATCCAAAATGGATTAAGAAAATATGAATTGTCTTAATTGACATAAATACGTCCAAGTAATTCTCTCCAGATACTGCGGTTACTAACAAGACATTTGATTCCTAAGGGATCCACTGAGTCTGACACTCCACCACTTCTGTTCTAACCCCATCAGTCTCCCCCAGCCTCACATCCTGAGAAGGGAACACAAAGGCCCTGTGTGATTTTTCCTTTGTTAACGTCAACTACCGAGAGTGCACATAGCTTGTTAAGCTAAGTGGCTCTTCTTTTGTAGGAAGTGATTACAAGTATTAAATAATCAACAGAGGTACTGAGAGAGGAAGACTCTCTTTGCCTGGGGCTGCTAAGCAGGACTGTGGAGCTGATACTTGGGGCAGGGTAAGGACTGGACACAGCAGGAGGAGGAGCTGAGGGCCAAGGGAGGTAAGAACAGACAGCGTGTATTGGAGGCATAGGACTCCTCTGTCCAGCCCTGAGGCCCCAGCTCCTACCGTGCTTCCTTTGATTCTGTGACTACCCCCATATTCTAAGCTACATGGTTCCATAAATTCCTATATCTACTTAGGAAAAAAAAAAAAAGTCAAAATCATACCAACTGTGAAGGAGCTGCTGATCTCAGAGATAGGAAGGAGAGGGGGGGCAACTAAAATCTGAAATGAATGACTACAATTCAATTTTATAAATGTTTTTTAAAAATTTAGAAATTAAAAAAAAATTTAAATAAGCAAGAATGTTAAAGCACAGCCTGTTAGAATCAAACTAAAAGGATTTAAAGGAGAAATCAAGATGCCCATAGGCAATTCTTGATTATCCCCCAGGGTGAGTGGGTAGGAGACAAAATAGACGATGATCAAGGAATCCAAAAACCTAATTTTAACCAACAGCCTCATCCTCTGACAAAACTAGCCATGCCAATAAGCAGCAAAATGAACAGAGCATTGTTCATTTTCACAGTGAAACAGTGGGGAAAAAGAATGATGGGCTACAGGAAAGGAAAAGGGGGTGGGATCTGTCAGGTTCATCCACAAGAGGGTAATAACTAACAGCAAAGGGGACAGGAGTCTCAGCTGCAATCCATCTCTCCTCTTTGCATTCTCTGGACATTTTGGAAGGTGATGGTTTTGACATCAGGGATCTCTCTCTCCACCTTGGGAACCTCCTGGCTCAGCTACTGGTTTATAGGAGCTCTCGGGGTAAGTTCCCAGGAGGAAACAGGTCATATGGACAAAATTAGAGGGTATATTCCCTTTGACCAGCCAGCTACATCAATAAATCTAACTTTCGGAATCTCTAGGGCCACAGGGCCAAAGCCTCCACTTTAAAGGCTTTTTCTCTTACACTCTCCTTTCCATAGTCCTACAGCGATTACCCCTGTGGTCCTTCATCACCGGGATGCAAGCCTCACGAGTGGGAGGCATGCCTCATGTGTTAAGTCACCATCCTCATGGCTTAGATACTTGAAAACTCCCTTGACAAGAGAATTCATGTTGAAGAATTATAAACGAAATGGGGGAATACCAGAAGACAGTGAAAAGCCATCAGGTATGACAAAGAGAGTTGCCAAGTTCATCAGCTAAGGCAATAATGGACAAATAGAATTTGATTTTCATTAATAGGAATTTATCAGGATAAAAGAGAGCTCTGGTCTGGTCCCGGTCTCTTCTCAGAGTGTTGATTAGTCTGTAGCAATCTGATTTCCTGGCAGCAAAAAATGAGAGTGGCACTATCCCCCAGGAGATGTTTGAAAAGTTGCTGGGCATGTTTGGTTGTCTCAATGACTACAAGGCAATGTGGCATTTGGTGGGCAGGGGCCAGGGATAATAAGCGCACGGCAATGTGCAGGACGGAGCCGTCCTGCCCAAAAGGTCAGCAGAGCCCTGTTGAGAAAGGGCGAATTGTTCTCCCCTACATTCATCACAGAGCAGGGTTCTTGCTTGGTCTATGGGGGCATTAGGAGTAATGCCAAAAATGCACCCCCTTTCCTCTGAGACCCAGAGAAATGCATCCCAGGGCAGGGAATGTTCCTTCACAGTATTCAACCACCAGGCCCCTCCTATCCTGCCCACCATGTGTCATCACATGGAGAGTGAGGAGGAGCCTCCTGTGCCCCCGGCCACAGACAGGCAAGGTGTAGCCGCCAATTCCAAGCTTCCTCCCCTGACACTCCTGAAATCCAGAAGAAAGAGGAAGAATGGGAGGTGGGGCTCATTAGAATCACTTTGTTCTCAGGCAGGGGTGACCAGTTGTCCACATGGTCTCTACGGTACATGACAGGGGGTGGGTCGGGGCAGTTTCTCTCCCTGTGAATGTGAATATACCCACTCTTCAGGTGCAAGGGCAGGTGCTAGACTTTTGGCCTGGTTACAGCAAGCCCCTCAGAACACTGGCCTAGGGCAGACCTCCAATTCCTCTGAGTAGTTTGCCTGTGATCCAAGAGACTAAGATGAGATGGAGGAATGTCACGACAACACTCAGCTATGGCAACACTTGGCTTTAAACTTCCGTCTAAGACACTGACTTCCAAAGGGAAGGACTGCAACCCAAACCAACTAAACCTTAGGGCTAAACTAAACTTACGTCAAACTCGTTTGTACTTCCAGGTGTGAGGTGTCCATGGCTTCCTGTGTATATTCAAATCTCCATGGCAACTCATCCCTCTTTTCCAGGCAGCATCCTTTCCCTGGAAATCACAGGATTGGTGGGAGCAAACAAGCCGGGGATGGGGGGCTGCAGGAACGTGGGTCAAAACAAAACTAGAAACATACATGGGGAAGGGAGGCAGATGACACAGTCGGGCTGGAGGCTGTGGGCTTGCCAGCCCCTCACTCATCCACAGAGGGGCTGCATGTGGGGCTGAGACGGGAGGTGGGGACAGGCTGAGCATCTGGAGGAGCAGATGGCCGGAGGAATGGCTGCTGGAGACTGTGACAAAGGCTTGGCAAGTGGGACCTGATGCTGCTTATTTTTAAGTGGTGGAGAAGCTAAAAACAGAAACTGGGTGGGTTTGAGCAGCTGGACACAGTTCTTCCATATAATCACTGAAGTTTTCCATTTTCTAATAAAAATGCTAACCAGAGGGTAAGAGAGGATGAAAAAGGCAATGGCAAGGGAGGGGTTGGTGGACACCAGAGAGAGCAAATGAGGGGTGAACACCCCACAGACTGTAAAGATGAGGCCAGGGACAACAAGAGACACAATTATAACTCTCAAGAAAGAGAAGAACGGCCACAGTGACACACTGAAAGTCAGGAGGACTCAGATTCCAAAGTCATTCCAAGGCCCATGTCCCATCTCTGTGCCAACCTGTAGGACATGTTTCCCCTTCTCAAAATATTCAGTCATTTTCAGCTAGAAGTCTGTGTTTCACCAGTTTCCCCTCTTTCATGTTCCTACCAGCATAGTAGGTTCCTCAAGGATAGGGCAGGACCGTTTCTCAACTACACAGCATCCAAGAACCACGCATATCCTATGTGTGCTCAATGATTAGCTATCACCCATCTCGCTCTTTGCCCTAAATAAGTTACAGAATCTCCTGAGTTCCTTAATGTTCTATCCCACCTTATATCCAAGCTGAATGAATACATGAAGAGCCTTTGAAAGCAATACCTCCTCCTTCCTTCAAGTGTACAGAGCTTCAAACAACATCAGGTCAATGCAGTTATATTTTCCGAACTCTGTGTGCATACTCCTGAGAGAGAATCAAATACCTGCAGCAATGAAGGCAAAGCCAGATTTGTTTAATTGGACAAGTTACCTTCCTCATAGTTTAGATGTCCAGCTTAGTTTAAAAACTGCAGAGGCCAAAGTTTAGCATTTAAATCCATGCAGTACATGCAAGAATTTCAGAGTACTTTCAAATAACTAAGGAAACAACTGGCTCTGTCTAGTTAGAGAACTTAAGCCATGTTTGGGGTGCCTGGGTTCCTGCTAAAAGTTCCAGATTGAGCAATAGTACCGCCTCACCCTGAGTTCTTACTTTTCCACTGCCATGGCTCCACCTCCAGTCTGCATATCTCTGCTTCAAGTTTTCCAGAAGCCTCAATTTCAACTGACTGGTCATACTCTAGCCTTCCTCTCTCTACTTCATCAAGCACATTATGTGCCTCTACTCTGCAAAATGCTTTGATATTTCTTCACTGCTTAGAGACTGAAATCCAAAATAGGAAGGCATTTTAAACTGGATCCCATTTTATTTCCTAATCTTAACTCTCACCACTTTTTATCAATGACATGGCTGTCTTCAGTGTTCCCCAAACATAACATGGGCTTCCATATTTCTGTGACTTAGCAAAAGCTGTTCTCTCTACTTTGAATGCATCTTCCTTATTCTTCAAGCCCCAGCTTAATGTCAGCTCAGGAGAGCAACAGCTTTGGACCAGCCCAACTTAGGTTTAGGTTCTATATTTCCATCTTCTACCTGTGTTGCCCAGCACATGCTGAGGCTCTTCATTTACCTAATTCACAATTGGCATTTGATAAATGTAGATCATCCCAATCCTAGCAAAGTCAGTCACCCAATTTCTGTGTTTCTATAACCCATGGGCTAGACAATATCAATCTATGTTTTAGATAAATACAGCTTGTGATGCAAAAAATTCACTGTGTGAGCAGCTTTACTTATACTGTAAAGTAGGTAAAAACTATTCATATTTTACAAATGAAGAACTAGAAGAGCAGAGAGATTAAGTAACTTACCTGAATTATATACCGATAAGTGCAGTGCAAGAATTCACATACGTTTCTCTAATTGAATATCTTCATGCTCCTACTACATTACACAACTTCATATTTGTGTGGCAGTGCGGATTCCCTTCTCTCAACTGCAACCTTCAAGATCTTTGCCTCTTGAGTGCCATACACAAAGTGGATTTTCAAGAAATGTTTGTTCAACAAATATGTCGTGCATGTATCCCACTAACAATGGTTGGCAGATACCAACTGTCGATTTCAAATGCCATATGTCTTCAAGAACATATGGCTTACAGTGACACTGGAATTTTTAAAAGTAACTGGGATCCACAAGTATAGTAGGAGATTTAGCAAATCTCCCCAGAAAATGACATCTAACAGAGCAAAATAAAAAATATAAAATATCTGCATAAAAATTAATAGGCCCTGGGGGAAAAGGGGGTGTTGGAGAGATGTTGGCTGGTCAAAGGATTCAAAATTTCAATTAGATAGGAGGAATAAGTTGAAGTAATCTATTGTACAACACAGTGACTATATAGTTAATAACAATATGTCATATTCTTGAAAATCACTAAGAGAGTAGATTTTAAGTGTTGTCACCACAGAAAATAAGTGAGGTAGTGCATGTTAATTTGCTTAATTAAGCCATTCCACAGGTATACACATTTCAAAATATGTTTTGCCCAATACATCTTTGTGTGTCATTTAAAAATTTTTAAAGTGGGGGGCAGTTCCAAGATGGCCGAATAGGAACAGCTCCAGTCTACAGCTCCCAGCGTGAGTATAGCAGAAGATGGGTGATTTCTGCATTTCCAACTGAGCTTTGAAGAGAGTAGTGGTTCTCCCAGCACGCAGCTTGAGATCTGAGAACAGACAGACTGCCTCCTCAAGTGGGTCCCTGACCCCCGAGTAGCCTAACTGGGAGGCACCCCCCAGTAGGGGCAGACTGACACCTCACACGGCCAGGTACCCCTCTGAGACGAAACCTCCAGAGGAACGATCAGGCAGCAACATTTGCTGTTCAGCAATATTCGCTGCTCTGCAGCCTCCACTGCTGATACCTAGGCAAACAGGGTCTGGAGTGGACCTCCAGCAAACTCCAACAGACCTGCAGCTGAGGGTCCTGACTGTTAGAAGGAAAACTAACAAACAGAAAGGACATCCACACCAAAACCCCATCTGTACGTCACCAACGTCAAAGACCAAAGGTAAATAAAACCACAAAGATGGGGAAAAAACAGAACAAAAAACTGAAAATTCTAAAAATCAGAGTGCCTCTCCTCCTTCAAAGGAATGCAGCTCCTCACCAGCAATGGAACAAAGCTGGACGGAGAATGAATTTGATGAGTTGAGAGAAGAAGGCTTCAGACGATCAAACTTCTCCGAGCTAAAGGAGGAAGTTCGAACCCATCGCAAAGAAGTTAAAAACATTGAAAAAAGATTAGACGAATGGCTAACTAGAATAACCAATGCAGAGAAGTCCTTAAATTTACAAGAACTCAAACAAATTTACAAGAAAAAAACAACCCCATCAAAAAGTGGGTGAAGGATATGAACAGACACTTCTCAAAAGGAGACATTTAATGCAGCCAAAAGACACAGGAAAAAATGCTCATCGTCACTGGCCATCAGAGAAATGCAAATGAAAACCACAATGAGATATCATCTCACACCAGTTAGAATGGCGATCATTAAAAAGTCAGGAAACAATAGGTGCTGGACAGGATGTGGAGAAATAGGAACACTATTACACTGTTGGTGGGACTCTAAACTAGTTCAACCATTGTGGAAGACAGTGTGGTGATTCCTCAGGGATCTAGAACTGGAAATACCATTTGACCCAGCCATCCCATTACTAGGCATATACCCAAAGGAATATAAATCATGCTGCTATAAAGACACATGCACACGTATGTTTATTGCGGCACTACTCACAATAGCAAAGACTTGGAACCAACCCAAATGTCCAACAATGATAGGCTGGATTAAGAAAATGTGGCACATATACACCATGGAATACTATGCAGCCATAAAAAATGATGAGTTCATGTCCTTTGTAGGGACATGGATGAAGCTGGAAACCATCATTCTCAGCAAACTATCACAAGGACAAAAAACCAAACACCGCATGTTCTCACTCATAGGTGGGAATTGAACAATGAGAACACTTGGACACAGGAAAGGGAACATCACACACTAGGGCCTGTTGTGAGGTGGGGGGAGGGGAGAGGGATAGCATTAGGAGATATACCTAATGTAAATGATGAGTTAATGGGTGCAGCACACCAACATGGCACATGTATACATATGTAACAAACCTGCACATTGTGCACATGTATCCTAGAATGTAAAGTATAATAAATATATATTTAAAAAATTTTTTAAAGGAAAACAATAGAACGAGCATCCAAATGAGAAAGAAAGAAGTAAAATGATTTCTGTTCACAGATTACATGTACAAAACCCTAAAAATTCTACCAAAAATTTAAACAAATTCAGCAAAGTTGCAGGATACAAAAATCAATGTGCAAAAAAACAGTTGTGTATCTCTATGTACTAACAATGAGCAACCTGAAAAGGAAATTAAGAAAGCAATTCTATTTATAATGGCATCAAAAAGAATAAAATACTTAGGAATAAACTTAACTAGGGAGGCAAAAAATTTGTATAATGAAACTACAAAACAATGCTGAAAGAAGACATAAATACAAAGATATCCCACGTTCATAGATGGGAGGAATTTTTTTTTTTTTTTTTTTTTTTTTGAGGCAGGGTCTCACTCTGTCTCCAGGCTGGAGTGCAGTAGCACAATCATGACTCACTGCAGCTTAGACTTCCTGGGCTCAAGCAATCCTCCCACCTCAGCCTCCTAAGAAGCTGGGACCACAGGTGTGGCTAATTGCAATTGGCTAATTGTTTGCTTTTTTTTGTAGAGTCAAAGTCTCACTATGCTGCCCAGGCAGGTCTCAAACTCCTGGGCTCAAGTGATCCTCCCACCTCAGCCTCACAAAGTGCTGGAATTATAGGCATGAGCCACTGCACCCAGTTGGGAAGAATATTGTTAAAATAACAATACTACCCAAAGTGATCCACAGATCCAGTATAATCCCTATCAAAATCCCAATGACATTCTTTGGAAAAATAGAAAACCCCACCCTAAAATTCACCTGAGATCTCAAATGGCCCCAACTGGCCAAAACAACCTTGAAAAAGCAGAACAAAGTTGCAGGACACAAACTTCCTGATTTTAACACTTAAAGCTACAATAATCAAAACTGTGTGGTACTGACATAAAGATAAACATATAGACCAATGGAATAGAATAGAGAGACCAGAAATAAACCCTTATATACGGTTAAATAGTTTTCAACAAGGCCAAATGATCCTCAACAAGGGCAGAAAGAGCATTTAATGAGGAAAGAACAGTCTTTCCAACAAATGGTTCTGGAAAACCTGGATATACACATGCAAAAGAACGAAACTGGACCCTTATACCATACACAAAAATTAACTCAAAAGGGTTCAAGTATCTAAAAAGATGAACTAAAACTATAAAACTCTTAAAAGAAAACAGGGGGAGACCTTCATGACATTGGATTTAGCAATGATTTCTTGGCTATGACACAAAAAGCACCATCAACAAAAGTAAAAAGAGATAAACTTGACCTTACCAAATTAACTTTTATTCATCAAATGATACTATTAACAGAGTAAAAAGACAACCCAGGAATGGGAGAAAAGATCTGCAATCACATATTGATAAGAGCTTAATATCCAGAATATATCAAGAACTCCTATAACACAACAACCAAAAAAATCCAACTTTAAAAATGGACAAAGAATTTGAATAGACATTTATCCAAAGAAGATATACAAATGGCCAGTAAGCACAAAAAAGTCATAAAGGAAATGCAAATCAAAACCATGAGATATCACTTCACACCTTCTAAGGTGGCTATATCAAAAACAAAATAACACGTGTTGATGAGGACATGAAGAAATCTTAAGCCCTACGTATTGCTGGTGAGAATGTAAAATGGTAGAGCCACTGTGGAAAACGGTATATAGGTTTCTCAAAAAATTAAACACAAAATTGCCATATGATCCAGCAATTTCATTTCTAGGTATATACAAAAAAGAACTGAAAGGGACTCAGACATATATTTGTACACCAGTGTACACAGCAGTATTATTCACAATAGGCAAAAGGTGGAAGCAACCCAAATGTCTATCAATGGATGAGTGAGTAAACAGAGTAATATATACATAAAATGGCATTTTAGCCTTAAAAAGGCAAGAAGTTTTGATGTATGCCACAACATGAATGAACTCTGAAGACATTATGCTAAGTGAAATAAGCCAGACACAAAGGGACAAACATTGTATGGTTGCATTTATATAAGATACCTAAAACAGTCAAATATATAGAGACAGAAAGTAGAATAGTGGCTACTAGGGACTGAGAGAGGAGAGGATGAGAGGTTTCAGATTAGGATGATGAAAAAGTTCTGGAGATTGAGGGTGGTGATGGTTGTAAAACAATACGAATGTTTTTAATACCCCTTAATTGTATACCCAAATGTGGTTAAAATGGCAAATTATATGTTAAGTATACTTTATCACAATGAAAACATTAACAGGCCTTTACCAATAGATACATGGAAGAGTGAATACATGCAGTTTTCAAACGCAGGTGGGCCATAATCAAACTCAACATGTATTAAACCAGGAAAGGAGCCTAAATACATTCTAAGAAGCTATCATGAAGGCCAGCGTCATCCTGATGTCAAAACATGGCAGAGATACAACAAAAAAAGAACACTTCAGGTCAATATCCTTGATGAACATTGATGTAAAAATCCTCAATAAAATACCAGCAAACCAAATCCAGCAGCACGTCAAAAAGCTTATGCACCACAATCAAGTTGGCTTCATCCCTGGGATGCAAAGTTGGTTCCACATACGCAAATCAATAAAGGTGATTCATCACATAAACAGAACTAAAGACAAAAAACCACATGATTATCACAATAGATGCAGAAAAGGCCTTCGAGAAAATTCAACATCCCTCCTTGTTAAAAACTCTCAATAAACTAGGTATTGAAGAAACATACCTCAAAATATAAGAGTGATATATGACAAACCCATAGCCAACATCATACTAAATGGGCAAAAGCAGAAACTGTTCCTCTTGAAAACCAGCACTAGACAAGGATGCTCTCTCTCACCATTCCTATTCAACATAGTATTGGTAGCTCTGGCCAGGGCAATCAGGCAAGAGAAATAAATAAAGCGCATTCAAATAGGAAGAGAGGAAGTCAAATTATCTTTGGAGATGACATGATCCTATCTTTAGAAAACCCCATCATCTCAGCCCAAAAGCTACTTAAGCTGATAAGCAACTTCAGCAAAGTCTCAGCATATAAAAATCATGTGCAAAAATCCCTAGCATTCCTATACACCAACAACAGGCAAGCAGAGGGCTAAATCATGAATTAACTCCCACTAACGATTGCTACAAAAAGAAAAAAATACCTAGGAATACAGCTAACAAGGGAAGTGAAGGACCTCTTCAAGGAGAACTACAAACTACTGCTCAAATAAATCAGTGAGGACACAAGTGGAAGAACGTTCCATGCTCATGGATAGGAATAATCAATATCGTGAAAATGGCCATACTGCCCAAAGTAATTCATAGATTCAGTGTTATTCCCATTAAACTATCATTGACATCATTCACAGAATTAGAAAAAACTATTTTAAAATTCATATGGAACCAAAAAAGAGCCCAAATAGCCAAGGCAAGTCCTAAGCAAAAAGAACAAGTCTGGAGGCATCAGGCTACCTGACTTCAAACTATAGTACAAGGCTACAATAACCAAAACTATGTGTCTGGTACAAGAACAGACACATAGACTGATAGAACAGAATAGAGAACCCAGAAATGAGACCGCATACCTATAATCGTCTGATCTCCAACAAACCTGACAAAAACAAGCAATGGGGAAACAATTCCCTATTTAAAAAATGGTGCTGGGAGAACTGGCTAGCCATATGCAGAAAATTGAAACTGGACCTCTTCCTTATACCATATAAAAAATTAATTCAAGATGGATTAAAGACTTAAATATAAAATCCAAAATATAAAAACCCTAGAAGAAAATCTAGGCAATACTATTCAGGACATAGGCACAGGCAAAGATTTCATGACAAAATCCCCAAAAGCAATTGCAACGAAAGCAAAAATTGACAAATGGCATCTAATTAAACTAAAGAGCTTCTGCATAGCAAAATAAACTATCAGAGTGAACAGACAACTTACAGAATGTGAGTAAATATTTGCAATCTATCCATATGACAAAGGTCTACTATCCAGCATCTATAAGGAACTTAAATAAATCTACAAGAGAAAAACAAGCAACCCCATTAAAAAGTAGGGAAAGGACATGAAAGACACTTCTCAAAAGAAGACACACATGTGGCCAACATATTTTTAAAAAGCTCAACATCACTGATCATTAGAGAAATGCAAATCAAAACCACAATGAGATAGCATCTCATGCCAGTCAGAATGGCAATTATAAAAAAGTCAAAAGAACAGATGCTGGCAAGGTGGCAGAGAAAACAAAACAAAACAAAACACTTTTACACTGTTGGTGGGAGTGTAAGTTAACTCAACCATTGTGGAAGACACTGTGGCAATTCCTCAAAGACCTAGAAGCAGAAATACCATTTGGCCCAGGAATCCCATTACTGGGTATATACCCAAGGGAATATAAATCATTCTATTATAAAGATACTTGCACACGTATGTTCATTGCAGCACTATTCACAATAGCAAAGACATGGAGTCAATCTAAACGCCCATCAATGATAGATTGGACAAAGAAAAATGTGGTATATATACACCATGAAATACTATGTAGCCCAAAAAAGAAATAAGATCACATCCTTTGAAGGGACATGGATGGAGTTGAAAGCCATTATCCTCAGCAAACTAATGCAGGAACAGAAAACCAAGCACCGCATGTTCTCACTTATAAGTGGGAGCTGAATGATGAGAACACATGGACCCATGGTGGGGAACAACACACATTGGGGCCTGTTGAGGGGCTAGGGAGAGGGAAAGCATCAGGAAGAACAGCTAATGGATGCTGGGCTTAATACCTAGGAGACGAGATGATCTGTGCAGCATACCACCATGGCACACATCTACCTATATAATAAATCTGCACATCCTGCACATGTACCCCTAAACTTAAAAGTTGAAAAAATAAAGAAAAAAAGTTACCATAAAAACTATGCTCACTGATAACACTGCAATAAAATAATGAATATCAACAATTTGCAAGAATTAACACACCATTACATTTTTTAAAATTTCACTCATTCAAACCAAAAGTTTTTATTTAAGGAAAAATAAAATGAGTAAACTTTAGCAATTTTTATCAATTAAGACAATTAGGCAAAATAAATAAGAAGATATATAGAAAATTTTTAAATCTTTGGAGATTATATAACAATATATTTGCAGACATAGCTTAAAAATGTAAATTATCTAGAAAATATAAATTACCTAAATTTTGAACAAAAGGAGCAGAAAGTTTGAAAAAGCACAACCATAGTGATATTGTTAGGCTTTGTGTCCCCACACAAATCTCATCTTGAATTGTAATCCCCATAATCACCACGTGTCAAAGAAGAGACCAGGTGGAGGTCATTGAGTCATGGGGCTAGTTTCCCCCATGCTGCTCACATGATAGTGGATTTTCATGAGCTCTGACGGTTTTATAAGGGGCTCTTCCCCCTTCGCTTGGCACTTCCTCTTTTAGCCTTGTGAAGAAGGTGCCTTGCATCCCCTTCGCCTTCCGCCATGATTGTAAGTTTCCTGAGGCCTCCCCAGCCATGTTGAACTGTGAGTCAATTCAGTTTTGTCCCCTCTGGAGGATGCAGCAACAAGATGCCATCTTGGAGGGAGAGACTGGGCCCTCACCAGACACTTAAATGGCCAGTGTCTTGATCTTTGACTCCCAGCCTCCAGGACTCTAGGAAATAAATTTCTGTTCTTCATAAATTACCCTGTCTCAGGTATTTCATTACAGCAGCACAAATGGACTAAGACAATGTTAACTCTACTCAAATCATACTACAATTAAATGCACATCTAAAAAATTCCAATAATAATACCAAACAGAGTTTTGGGGAACTTCACCAGTTCTAAGATTCAGACAGAAGAGTCAACAGGCAAAACTAGCCAATGCAATTCTGAAAAAATGCCAGAAAAGGTAGGGGCTTTCCCTAGCAGAAATCAGGACACAATTTAAAACTCTAGTATTTAAAACTGGAATAATCAACTAGATCAACGCAACAGAATAGATAGCCAAAAAATGAATCCAAGTCTATTTTGATACTTACTATATATTAAAGGTGATCTTTTAAATAACTGAGGAAAGCACAGAGTATTCAATAATACAATTTTAAAATGTAAAAATGATTCATAACTGCAGGCCATACAAAAACAATCAGTTGACCAAATCTGGCTCATGGACCTTAGTTTGCCAACTCCTCTATCCTATTTTGTTCTTGGTAACTGCCCTAAAGAACCACGTACACACATGTACGAGGAATCTCGAAATGGAGTCTTCACTGCAGATGCATTATTTGCAAGAGAAAAAAATAGAAGCAACCTGAATTTTCAACAGGAGAATGGCTAAATTATATATCCATACCATCCATATCATTCCTGATTACACAGATCTGCATATACTATCATAGGATCATCTTCACAACATATCAGTGAGGGTGAAAAGAAGTGCAAATTTTAGAATATTTCTTAAACCACACAAACACAAAGCAGCAAAGGTATGGGAGACTACATTCGAACTGATAATAATGGTTACCTCTTGGGGAGGAAAATGAGCAGGGTGTGGTTGTTAGGGGGTGGGTATCCCAGAGGACTTTCAGCCTCATCTCTCTCTCTCTATTTTTTTTAAGGCATATGGTCGTGAATGACTTCATTAAGTTAAAAAGAAGTAACGGGGAAAAAAAAAAAGAAAAGAAAACCTAGGAATCTTTCCACTAAATGACCCTAGACCCTGGCCATCTCCCTTGAGCATAAAGAGTCAAGGCACATGGGTGGGAAGATGAAAGTCTGTCGACCATCACACCCAAGTGATAGCTGCTCATGGTACTGGGGGCCTCCCTCTCCAGGCTACACTTAGATCCCTTGGGACTACTGAATAAGCCTAGGATGTGACAGCTGTGGCCTCAGCTATATTCTGTTCAACCACAAAAACAACAGCTTAAAGCAAGGCCTCCTTTTTAAGTAACCTTAATATTTTAAAATCTAAGAATGATTCACCAAGTGATAGGAAACAAAACTCCTCTAGCGATATCCAATTAAACAACATAAACATCTCTGATGCCTTCACAAGACTCATTAAAATGCAAGTAAACATTTGAAAAGGATACACATTCACAGATAAAAAATGAAGAGCAGGGTGAGCAAAGTCAACCCATTTTAATAAGATAGAGCAGATTAAAGAATTAGCAGATTTGAGATACCCAAATACTAGATGCTAAAGAGATGAAAGCCATTTATACACCAAATAACCATAAGGCCCAGGCATAGAGGCACCAGGTAGCACAGATAGCAAGAGTAACCCATGAAGAAGAAAAAAACAGGAAGATTAGTTAAAAATCTGGGTAATAAACATATAGAGCACGAGGTTTCCCTCTTCCTTCTTCACCCCCAGGATAAAAGTTCTTTCACAGATAAATTGCATCAAAGAGAATTTAAAGGCAGGGACAATGGGCACAGTAAAATTTTAGATATATACCGAAGATGTTCGCAGTAATGCTTCCAGAGCAAAAAACAGAATGCATACAATAATGAAAATGGCATTTCTCAACAGAAAAGCTAAAAGCTAAAAGACAGATAATATCTTCAAAATTCTTAGGACAAATTACTTTTCAACCTGAGATCCAGTGCCTAATCAATCAAGTGTGAGAGTAAAAATAAGACATTTTTGAAAATACAAGATCTCAAAAAACTATCTCCTATGGCCTTTTTCTTAAAAAGCTACTAAAGGATGTCCTCCACCAAATCAAGGGAGAAAAAGAAAAAACAAGACCCAGCACAAAGAAACAGGGATTTGTTAAAGGAGAGAGGAGAAGGGAAGCATCAGTGCAACAGCTAAACAGAGCATCTAAAGAGCAGTGAGTCAGGTAGGAAAAGAGGATGGAAGGGCTTCAAGAGAGATTCTCCAGGAAAGGAAGAGAATAGACAGATGAGCAGATACCTCTGACCATGTGGAAAATTCTATCTGAGAGATTTTCTAGTTCTATTGGAGAATCTGGGAAGAAGGAGGGACAGTAAACTAATGAAAGAAAAAAATGGCAAGGCAATTCTTCACTTAAGTGGAGGAAACAGTTGTGTAAGAAAGGAAATGTACTTATATTAAACAGTTTGGCAGTGAGCCACACTTACCATGGTGTGCTGAGTGCTGAATTAACAAAAAAAAATGAAGTTATTATATTAGGAGGAAAAATAGGGAGTAGGTCTAAGATGCTAACATTTCATAAAGAAAGCAGTTAATAGTTACAATTCATAAATGAAGAAATAGGCTGGGTGTGGTGGCTCATGCCTGTAATACCAGCACTTTGGGAGGCCAAGGCAGATGGACCTGACCTGAGGTCAGGAGTTCGAGACCAGCCTGGCCAACATAGTGAAATTCCATCTCTACTAAAAATAAAAAAAAATTAGCCAGGTGTGGTGGCACATACCTGTAGTCCCGCTACTCAGGAGGCTGAGGCAGGAGAATCGCTTGAACCTGGGAGGTGGAGGTTGCAGTGAGCCAAGATCAAGCCACTGCACTCCAGCCTGGGCAACAAGAGCAAAACTCTGCCTCAAAAGAGGAAAAAAAAAAACATAAATGAAGAAATTAATAAAATTAGTGTACACTTTGGAAAGAAGTAAAAATCACAAACAACTAAGAGAACTGAACATTACTGTTGCTGGGGAAAGGGACCCAAGAATGGGATGAATGGAGGCTGCTTGTTTGCTTATTTATTTACTTATTGCATTCATACTTGATGTGTGAGCCATGGACGTATCTTACTTAAACTTTCAGGTTTCAGTTTTTCTCCTGGTAAAATGGGAATAATGATAATACACGCCTATAAGGCTACTGTTAACATCACATGAGATAATGTGGTAAAATTCCTTCTGTGAACATTCCCTTTTTAGTCGGACCAATTTTTCAGAGTAGTTATTTAATAAACAGGTTGAGAGGAGACACAATCGAAACCCATGTTGTCCAAGTACTGAGGGCTGGAATATTAATCAATCCAATGCCCAGTATGCATAAGCAGCAAAGAGACATGAAGTGAATGGGGTGATCTAAGTAGGAGGGGTTTATCAAAAAGAAGATTCTTCTAGTCTGAAATCCAGGAAGCTTAGATCATGTATAACTGGGTTTGACTCCCTCCCTCATTTAACTAACTGTGTTCTGAGATAAATTATTTACCTTCCCCAGTCTCCCGTTTCCCTATCTGTAACATCTGTAACACTGGAGGTAGTAACACCTACCCTGGAGGTTTGCTACAGTGGTTACATCAAATAACAAATGTGAAAGATTCTTGTACAGTATCTGGTACCATTTCCTCTTTGGCAAAGGGTGGCAACTACAACAGCCCTAGTTTGTTCTGGAGAATGACACCTCTATCTTTCAATTTCTTTGTTGTTGTTGTTGTTGTTGTTGTTGTTGTTGAGTCTTGCCCAGGCTGGAGCACAATAGCTATTTGCCAAGTACAATCACAGCGTGCTATAGCACAGAACTCCTGGCCTCAAGCGATCTTCTGCCTCAGTCTCCTGAGTAGCTGGGACTACAGGCACATGCTATCACAACAGGCTGATTTTTATTTGTTTTTGTAGCAAGGAGGTCTCACTGTGTTTCCCAGGCTGGTGTCGAACTCCTGGCCTCAAAGGATTCTCCCACCTTGGCCCCTCAAAGTGTTGGGATTATAGGTATGAGCCACTACATCCAACTTTCAATTTTTAACATAAATCAAGCATCCAGGATCAGCTAATCAAAACCTCCCTAGGGTGAATCCGTCCTGCTCACCTCTCTCTCAATAATTTTTAGTTAGACAACAGTATACATTTACTGTAGCAAAAGTTGAAAATATAAATAAGCAAAAATAAGAGACTATGTATCACAAATAATACCACCAGTAAGAGTTAACCACCACAATTATTTTAGTATATAACCTTTCACATACTTTTCTGTGTATGTGTATTTTTAAATAAAATAAGGTTTTATTAAATCTATCATTCTTTGGTGATCATTTAAAACTAATATGTCAAGAACATATTCCCTCTCAATAAAACTATTTTAGGCTGGGCGCAGTGACTCAGGCCTGTAATCCCAGCACTTTGGGAGGCCGAAGTGGGCAGGTCATGAGGTCAGGAGATCGAGACCATCCTGGCTAACATGGTGAAACCCTGTCTCTACTAAAAATACAAAAAAAAAAAAAATAGCTGGGCTTGGTGGCATGCACCTGTAGTCCCAACTACTCGAGAGGCTGAAGCAGAAGCTTCACTTGAACCTGGGAGGTGGAGGTTGCAGTGAGCCTAGATTGCACCACTGCACTCCAGGCTAGTGAGACTCTGTCTCAAAACAAAACAAAACAAAACAAAAAAACTATCTTAACATCACTGTTAATAGCTGCAGTCAGTTTGATGGATGAACTTCACCTTTTATATTATACCCTTGCTTCCCACCCTTCCGCAGACAGTCAGTGTCTGTTCCAGCAATTACTCCAGCCTATTAGGTAAACTACAAGTTTGACACCAGAAGAAAAAGCAAGATCCAACTTAAATTGTGTTTCAATACATGTCAGTAATCACAAGTATATTGATACCAACCCAGCTTATCTCTAACAAGGCCAGCAGCTGCTCGAAAGGCTTTTTAAAGCAGAGTTTATTTCTAGGTCTTGGAAGGAATGTGAGATACTTTAGAAGAATTTTATTTTGGAAGTCCTGCACATCTCTGCCTTAGATCTTTAAAAATCAGTACATAGGCATGCACACACACACGTTGCACACATATAGTCACAGCATATGTACATATATAAATACACATTGTAAAAATATATTGCAGTGAGTATGTGCATATTATTTTAGGAAGAAACAAGGGGGCTATTTTTCTTTCCATCAGTAACAGGAACACTGGAAATTCAAGCTTTGTCACCTCCAGTGGGTAATTTGGATTTAGGGGAGAAAAAGATACCCAGAATTGGAAAGACACAGCCAAATCTTCAACATATACATACTAAGATTATTTATTTTTCCCAAGTTCATCTATGGAAAGCTGCTAGGCACTAGACTGAGATTAGAGCAACCACCATTCATCTGTGCTGCAGAAACAGAGACCAGAGACTCACAGATAAAGAATCAAACTCCACAAACCACCGAGAAAAGCCAGTTTCAACCATTTACATTCACACTATGGATCTCATCTTTGGCTCAGTACTCGTTCCTGAGATTATGGTTTCTCAGGTGAGAGTTTGCATTAAGCAGGGAGAAGGTATAAGAATGCCATGATAGCAGCCGATGATTGGAGCAGGACACCCGTCTTACTCCAGAAGAAACTGAGCAGCCGAGCAAAGGCAGCAGAAGGCCAAGCACTGGCCAGTCCTGGCGCTCATCAGTCCAGGAATAACTGAAAATGGGTTCTATTTCAAAGCCTTCTATCTGTCAGATAGCCGACTCAGTCATGGAAAGTTAAAAAGAACCCTTGAAAATGCTTTCGCCATACTAAACATATTTGAACTAACATGGAATTATTTTCAGAATTCTACCTCTTAGACCAGAGAGGTTAAGATTCAGGCTTCCAATTCCCACAGAGAAGAAAATGTGTAACCAGCGAATTGCATAGTGTGTTTCCTGCATTGCTAATGATCCTTAGGAGTGGGAGACAATGCTGTGGGGGTGCCAATGGGTCGTAATCCACCAAGGAACACACCGTTCATAACAACACGCATTGCTTTTTTCCAGACCCAGAGGCCCGGGTGAGCACTAATAAGCTGGCACAACAGGCTAATTTGATGTGTGGGATTAATATGTTAATTTAACGCTCTCCTGTTTGGTTAAGTGGTTTCTGTTCCTAAATTTCTAAGCATGGCATTCAAATCCCTTTCTATGGGAACCATGTGGCCTCTCTAACCGCCCTTCTTCCATTTGTCTTGGCAGCCTCGTGACCTGGATACAGAATGCCCATGCCTGACTTCAGGTAGCGCACGCACTGTTCTCCCAGCCTGCAATGCTAGTCTTCTTCTCCCTCCTGACCCTAGCCAAATCCTACTGTTGATTCTCCAGTGTGCTATTCAAGCCTTGGCTCTTTAATGAACCTTTCCCAAAAGCTTAGCTCACACTGACCACCATGAACATCAGGGGCCTCTGTGCCTCATTCTGGCCACTCGCACGTAATGCTTTACAGTGGTCCTCAACTGGTCTGTGCACATCTCACCTCTCCATCTGGATCATAAGCCCCTAGTGGGCAGGGATGAACTCTCACAGCTTTCTTTTCTCACTGCCAGCACTCTCATTTTACTCGACCCCTGAGTAGCATCACCACCGTGGACCACTTCCTCTCCATGAAATCTCCCCTCTTCTTGGTTTCTGTGAAATCACCCTCTAGATTTTCCTCCTCCTCAGCTCCCCCTCGATCCAACTTCTCAATATTGGTGTTCCTTGGCTGCCTTTTCTTCTCTTTGCATGCGTGTGTGCACACATACACACACACACACACTCTCACACACATACTCTCTCTCTCTCTCTCTCTGAGTCTCAAATATTCTCATGGCTCCAAAATATCATCTATATGGTCCCAAATTTCTATCTCTAGCCTGGGCCTTTCTTCTAAGCAATGCCTGGGAAGACTAGGTCAATCAGTATTTTATTATGTTTATAAAGGCAAGTTCATTTGTCTTATAGATCTCTTAGCTCTTCATAGAGAGAAGCTCCCATTTCATGGTTTTATTATGTCTTTAATCCAAAGCAGTCATCATAATATGAGTACTCTGATAGGAGGCCAGGCAAGACACCTTCATTCATGGCAGGGATCATGTCTTATTCAGTTTAGAGTCCTTCAGTAATGTGCAAAGTGTCTTCTACATAAGGTGCTGAGAATTTTTTTCCTAAATGAGTAAGTTAAGAAATGAATAGCCACGTTGACTATGCCTAAGTGGGCTCTGTCGAGAAAGGGTACCATTTTCTGGAGAAAATGGCTTATGTCCAGTAAGTGCTTGATTTCAATTTGTTGAAAGAAATCCAAATGGAGGAGGAATAGAAGGCCATGAGCCATTACCAAATGCCACAGCTCTTCTCAAATTTGCTTTATACTCCCTCAGAGGCTTAGTTGGGGCTTGGACTACTGACCCCTAACGAAAAGGTTTTCTAATCAGGCCAACTAGATATGTATGTCTTGCCAAGCGGTGAGTTAGGATTCCATAGAATCAAATAACCATAGTTTGGATCACGTTGATCAATTTACAATCAACAATACTTTTAAATTGGTTGATTTCTTAAACCCAATTTGGAATTCTCTATCTTCAAAATCAAACTAATCAACATGGCCAATACATTGAATTACCACCACCACAGAGTCTTTGGGTTCTCTCTGATGCCCCAGAACATCAAATCCCTGCCATGACCATCAGACTGATTCTCGGTGGTTTTCACTGGAGGCATGTTTCCTCAATTAAGTGTATAAATAGAAATTTTACTGCTTCAGAAAGGATATAAATCAGCTCAGCAGGACACTCTTGGGGCAAAGAGGCGGAGGCCAGGCTGGGAGAGGAGAACGTATTTAAATTATTCAATGAAATGGAAATCAGGGGTGGGAGTAGGTGAACTATTTGAGATATAGACTCTTCTTTGGGTAGGAATAATCGACAAGCAGCCTGAAGGAGCCTTCCTTCAAAGGAGAGATCAAACTGAGAATTGGCATGAAGTGGTGTCACTTCAAAATGTTTCCTCTGATTAAAATATTTCAATGCTAAACAGAAATCCTCACTCCCTGGAGAGTACTTGTACAGAGAAAAAGCACAGTGCTCCAGCAGTAACTCCTCTACGTCCACCCAGCTTGGGTGCTTTGTGAAAATGCCTTTTGTTAGCTTCCTACAGCTCTGTGCCTCAGTGAGTCACAACCAACAATCCCTCCTCTCATAAAGCAGCAGGCTACCAGGAAGACTAATTCCTCCTTACCCCATTCTTTCCTGTATATGTATTTTGTGCACTGAGCATTATAACAGCATTTTGCCATCACTAGACCTATTTGTATCTATGCTGCTGCTTAGTAAGATAGTCCCCCAATACTCAATAACTCTCAGTTTTAGTTTTTTTCGGTATTCAATCTATATTCTTCATGTTGCTGCCTAAGTCTATTTCATCTTAAACTCCCTCAGTGAGTGAAGTCAGAAAATATCATTCATTCTTTCTTTTATTCAAAAAGGCACTGTGCCAGGAATTGGGATAAGGGTCAAGAATACAGTATTTCTGACCTTATGAGGCTTACAGTTCAGCGAGGGAATAAATTATGTCAAAAATTTCATTTCAACTGTGATAAATATAGCAGAAGAGAACATATACAAGGTACCCAAAATAAATTATCAAATGGGATCTAATTGAGTTAGGAGGGCCAGTGAAGGGTTTCCAAACTAGATATCATTTGAGCTGAAATCTGAAGGATGAATAGGGGTGGAGGGGAAGGAAAGAGAGCATCCTAGGAGATGGAAGTACCTGTGTTGGGGAGCTGAGGCTAGAGGGATCAGGTATGTAATGAACAGAAAGAAGAACAGAGAGGTGAGGGGGGAGGAGTGGGAAGAGGCAGTAAGTGAAAGATCAGATAGGGTGTCATAGGTCATCTTAAATGTTGTGGACCTGGTTCTAAGACAATGGGAGTCACTATAGGATTTAAAAGACAGCAACATGGTTAGGTTTTTATGGAGAAATATCACTCAGGACTATGAGGATAATAAATGGAAGGGGGAGGAAGTGGAAGCAAGGGATTACCTAGAAGCTATTTGGTAGACCAGGAAAGAAATGAGAGCAGCTTGGATTAGGATTTCAGTAGAAATAGAAACAAACAAAAAAATTCGAGATCTACTTAGGAGGTAGAATGTACAGTATATGCAGATCAATCTGAGGGGGAGAGAGGTACAAAGGATAACATAATGGCTTTAGCCTTGAGTAGCTAGATAGATGGTGGTGTCATTTGGGGAAAGAGAGTATGCTGGAATTACTGGGAGGCAGGGGGTCACGAGCTCCATATTACACGTGCAAAGTCTGAGAAACCTGGTAGATTTCCAAGTCAAGAGGTTCAGCAGCCAGTTGTATATATGAGGTGCCAAGGGCATTAATGAAGATCATTCCAAGTAACAGCAGGGTCAGACACACTATATGCCTTTAACCTTTAATGTTTTCTAGAAGTGGGGGTATGTTCTAGAGCTGCACTGTTTAAAATGTTAGCCATTAGCCATATGGGAGATACTGGGATCTAAATTAGTTAAAATTAAATATATTTAAAATCCAGAGTTTAAATAGGCACTAGCCACATTTCAAGTGCTCAGTGGGGCTAGTAGCTACTGTACTGGACAGTGCAATTAACATTTCTGTCACCATAGGAGTTCTATCAGACAACCCTGTTGTAGACGATCAGAGGGCTTCCTATTTACAGCACTCAGCTCTGACAAGTATTTGCGTGAATGTTCAGCTCTCAGTCTACCAACACCAAGAAATAGAATTCTTCTATATTTTGATCCCCAAATAAGGCCTTGGGGTTGAAGATGGAGATATGAAAGAAGTGGGAGGTGAAGCAATATGGCCAAATAGAAGCCTTCACCAATCATTCTCTCTGCAGGAACACCCAATTAAATAACTAGCTACACATAAAAACTCACCTTTATAAGAACCAAAAATTGGATGAGCATCACAGTACCTGGTTTTAACTTTGTATCACTGAAAGTGGCTCTGTAGAGGGTAGGAAAGACAGTCTTAAATTGCAATGCCACCTCTCCTCCATCCTCCAACAGCAGCCACGGGGAGTGACAACTTGTACACTTGGGGGAGAAAGATCACAGTGACTGTGGGACTTGGCACTGGAACTCAGGGCTGCCCTGTCACAGCAGAAAGATGGGCAGAACTCAGCCCAGTGCCTGTGGAGGGGACACTTAGAACAGCCCTAGTCAGAGGGGAAGCATCCATTCCAGTGGTCAGAACTTAGATTCCAGCAACACTTGTCCCCAAGGGCTAAGGGGCTCTAAGGTCATAAATAAACTTGAAAGGCAGTCCAGGCAACAAGGACTAATTCCTGAGCAAGTCCTCATACTTTGCTCAACTTCAAGCCAGTTGATTTTGGGGACACGTGACCTAGTGAGTCACCAGCCAGAGCATCCAAGGGAGTGCTTGCATCACCCGTCCCCCAACCCCAGGCAGCATAGCTCACAGCTCCAAGACAGATTCCTTCCAAACTTCTGCTTGAGAAGAGGAGACAGAAGAGTAAAGACAACTTTGTCTTGCAATTTGGATACGTGCTCAGCCACAGTAAGATAGGGGGCCAGGCAGAGTTTTGAGGCCCCCATCCCAACCCCTACCTCCCAGACATTTCTAGACACACCCTGGGCCAAAAGGGAACCCACTGCTTTGAAGGGAAGGATGCAGTCCTGACAAAATAAATCACCTGTTGACAAAAGAGCCCTTAGGCCCTGAATAATCAACAGTGGTAGCCAGGCAGTGCTTGCTGTGGGCTTTTGGTATGACTCAGAGACTTGCTGGCTTCAGGCATGACATAGCACATTCCCTGTTGTGGTAGCTATGGGGAACTCCTTCTGCTTGAAAAAAGAAGAGGGAAGAGGAAAGAGGACTTTGTTTTGCAGCCAAGGTATCAGCTCACCCACAGTGGAGTAGAGCACCGAGTAGGCTATTGGGGTCCCCAGTTCCAGGTTTTGGCTCAGACATTTCTGTACCTGTCTTGGACTAGAAGGGAGCCTACTGTCCTGAAAGGAAGGACCCAGGCTTGGCAGCATTCATCACAAGCTGAATGAAGAGCCCTTGGACCCTGAATGAACACTGGCAATAGCCAAGCAGTACTTGCCACAAGCCTGGGGTGGTGGTAGCCAAGGGAGAAGACTCCTCTGCTTGTGGAAAGGAGAAGGAAGAGTGGCAGGGACTTTGTATTGCAGCCTGGGTGCCAGCTCAGCTGTAGTAGAATAATGTACCAAGTAGATTCCTAAGGTTTCTGACTCCAGGACCTGGCTCCTGGATGGCATCTTAGGACCCACCCAGGACCAGGAGGAACCCATAACCCTGAAGGGAAGGATACAAGTCTGGCTGCCTTTGCCACCTGCTGATTATAGAACGCTAGGGCCTTGAGCAAACATAGGTGGTAGCCAGGCAGTAGTTATTGTAGGTCATGGGCAAGACCCAGTACTGTGCTAGCTTCAGGTCTGACCCAGTGCAGTCCCAGTAGTGGTGGCCCACAGGAGTTTTTGTGTCACTCCACCTCCAGCTCTAGGCAGTTTAGCACACAGACTCCATTTGTCTGGGAGAAAGTAAGGGAAGAGAACAAGAGTCTTTACCTGACAATCCAGATAATTCTTCTGGATCTTCTCTAAGATAACCAAGATAGTACTTCTATGAGTCTGCAAGACCCACAGTATTACTGGACATGGGGTGCCCCGTAATGCAAATACAGTTAGAGCAACCGAAAACTTAGATCACAATGCCCAAGTCCCTTCAAATACCTGGAAAGCCTTCCCAAGAAGGATAGGCACAAAGAAGCCCAAACTGTGAAGACTACAATAAATACCTAACTCTTCAATGGCCAAATACCAATGCACCATCCACAAGCATGACAACCATCCATGAAAATATGACCTCAGTGAACGAACTAAAGAAGGCACCAGGAGTAAATCACTGAGACACAAAGATATGTGACCTTTCAGGCAGAGAATTCAAAATAGCTACTTTGAGGAAACTAAATGAAGTTCAAGACAAAACAGAGAAGGAATTCAAACTACTATCAGATAAATTTAACAGACACTGAAATAATTAAAAAGAATCAAGCAGGAATTCTGAAGATGAAAAATGCAACTGACATACTGAAGAATGCCTCAGAGTCTCTTAGCAGAACTGATCAAGCAGAAGAAAGAATTAGCACACTTGAAGATGAGCTATATGAAAATACAGTCAGAAGAGACAGAATATAAGAGAATGAAGCATGCCTATAAGATCTAGAAAACAGCCTCGAAAAGGCAAATCTAAGAGTTACTGGCCTTAAAAGGGAGGTAAAGAAAGGAAAAGACAGGGGTAGAACATTTTTCCAAAGAGATAATATCAGAGAACTTCCCCAAACTAGAGAACGATATCAGTATTCAAGTACAGGAAGGTTACTGAACATCAAATAGATTTAACCCACATAAGACTACCTCAAGATAACCAAACTCCCAAAGTCAAGTATTAATTAAGAATCTGAACAAGAAATGGGGAAACGATTCCCTATTTAACAAATGGTGCTGGGAAAACTGGCTAGCCATATGTAGAAAGCTGAAACTGGATCCCTTCCTTACACCTTATAGAAACATTAATTCAAGATGGATTAAAGACTTAAATGTTAGATCTAAAACCATAAAAACCCTAGAAGAAAAACCTAGGCAATACCATTCAGGACATAGGCATGGGCAAGGACTTCATGTCTAAAACACCAAAAGCAATGGCAACAAAAGCCAAAATTGACAAATGGGATCTAATTAAACTCAAGAGCTTCTGCACAGCAAAAGAAACTACCATCAGAGTGATCAGGCAACCTACAGAATGGGAGAAAATTTTTGCAATCTACTCATCTGACAAAGGGCTAGTATCCAGAATCTACAAAGAACTCAAACAAATTTACAAGAAAAAAAAACAAACAACCCCATCAAAAAGTGGGCGAAGGATATGAATAGACACTTCTCAAAAGAAGACATTTATGCAGCCAAAAGACACATGAAAAAATGCTCATCATCACTGGCCATCAGAGAAACGCAAATCAAAACCACAATGAGATACCATCTCACACCAGTTAGAATGGCAATCATTAAAAAGCCAGGAAACAACAGGTGGTGGAGAGGATGTGGAGAAATAGGAACACTTTTACACTGATGGTGGGACTGTAAACTAGTTCAACCATTGTGGAAGTCAGTGTGGCGACTCCTCAGGGATCCAGAACTAGAAATACCATTTGACCCAGCCATCCCATTACTGGGTATATACCCAAAGGATTATAAGTCATGCTGCTATAAAGACAGATGCACATGTATGTTTATTGCGGCACTATTCACAATAGCAAAGACTTGGAACCAACCCAAATGTCCAACAATGATAGACTGGATTAGGAAAATGTGGCACATATACACCATGGAATACTATGCAGCCATAAAAAATGATGAGTTCATGTCCTTTGTAGGGACATGGATGAAGCTGGAAACCATCATTCTCAGCAAACCATCACAAGGACAAAAAACCACACACCGCTTGTTCTCACTCATAGGTGGGAATTGAACAATGAGAACACTTGGACACAGGAAGGGGAACATCACACACTGGGGCCTGTTGTGGGGTGGGGGGAGTGGGGAGGAATAGCATTAGGAGATATACCTAATGCTAAATGATGAGTTAATGCATGCAGCACACCAACATGGCACATGTATACATATGTAAAAAACCTGCACGTTGTGCACATGTAACCTAAAACTTAAATAAATTAATTTAAAAAAAAGAATCTGAAAAGCAACGAGAGCAAAGAAACAAATAACATACATTGCAGCTCCAACACATCTGGCAGAAGATTTTTCAATGGAAACCTTACAGTTCAGGGGAGGGTAGCAAGACATAAAGTGCTGAAGGAAAAAAACTTTTATCCTAAAATAGTATATTCAGCAAAAATATCCTTCAAACACGAAGGAGAAATAAAGACTTGCCCAGACAAACAAGCTGAGGAATTTCATCAACACCAGAACAAGAAATGCCAACGGCAGTTCTTCAATCTGAAAGAAAAGGATGTTAATAAGGAGTAAGAAATCATCTGAAGGTGCAGAACTCATTGGCAATATCAAGTACACAGGAAAACACAGAATACTATAACAATGTAATTGTGGCCTACAAACTACTCATATATTGAGTAGAAAGACTAAAACACAAACAAATAACAACAACAACTTTTAAAGACATAGATAGTACAATGAGACATAAACAAAAACAACAAAAAGTTAAAAGCAGTGCAAACAAAGTTAAAGTGTAGAGTTTTTATTCGTTTTCTCTTTGCTTATTAATTTGTTTATGCAATTAGTGTTAAGATGTCAGTTTAAAATAATGGGTGATAAGATTATTTGCAAGCCTCGTGGTAATTTCAAATCAAAAAACACACTGCAGATACACAAAAAGCAACAAATTAAAACACACCACCAGAGAAAATCACTTTCACTAAAAGACAGAAAGGAGGGAAAGAAGGAGAAGACCATAAAACAGAAAACAAATAGTAAAATGGCAAGAGGAAGTCCTTATGTATAAATAATAACATTGAATGTAAATAGACTAAACTGTCCAATCAAAAGACAGAGCGGCTGAATAGATTAAAAAACAGGACCCCATAATCTGTGGGCTACAAGAAACACACTTAACCTATAAAGACACATAGACTGAAAGTAAAGAAATGGAAAAAGATATTCCATGCCAATGGAAACCAAAAAAGAACATCAGCAGCTATACTTAAATCAGACAAAATAGATTTCAAGATAAAAACTATAAAAAGAGACAAAGCTACATATCATCATTATATAATGATAAAGGGATCAATTCAGCAAGAAGATATAACAGTTGTAAATAACATATGCAACCAATATTGGAGCACCCACATGTATAAAGCAAATATTATTAGAGCTAAAGAGAGATACCCCAATAACAGCTGAAGAAATTACACACCCTACTTTCAGAATTAGATCATCCAAACAGAAAATCAACAAAGAAACATCAGCTTTAACCAGCAGCACAGGTCAAATGGACCTAATCGACATTTACAGAACATTTCTGTACCAATGGCTGCAGAATACACATTCTTCTCCTCCACGTATGGATCTTTATCAAGGATAGACCATATGTTAGGCCACAAAATAAGTCTTAAAACATTTTTAAAAATGAAATGATATCCACTATCTTCTCTGAACAATGGAATAAAAGCAGAAATCAATAACAAGAGGAATTTTGGAAACTATACGAACACAGGGAAATTAACCAATATGCTCCTGAATGACAGAGGGTCAATGAAGAACTTAAGAAATTGAAAAACTCCTTGAAACAAATGATAATGGATACACAACATGCCAAAACTGATGGGATATAGCAAAAGAAGTACTAAGAGGAAAGTTATAGCTATAGGCACCTACATCAGAAAGGTAGAAAAACTAAAAATAACCTAATGATGCACCTTAAAGAATTAGAAAAGAGCAAAACAAACCCAAAATTAGAACAAAGGAAACGAAGATCAGAGAAGAAATACATAAAATTGAAACAATGAAAATACAAAAATCAATGAAATGAAAAGTTGGTTTTTTCCAAACACCGCATGTTCTCACTTATAGGTGGGAATTGAACAATGAGAACACTTGGATACAGGAAGGGAAACATCACACACCCATGTCTGTCGTGGGGTGGGGGAAGCGGGGAGGGATAGCATTAGGAGATATACCTAATGTAAATGATGAGTTAATGGGTGCAGCACACCAACATGGCACATGTATACATATGTAACAAACCTGCACCTTGTGCATATGCACCCGAGAACTTAAAGTATAATAAAAAAAAAAAAAGAAAAGTTGGTTTTTTGAAAAGATGCATATAATTGACAAGCCTTTAGCCAGACTAAGAGAAAGAAATCAAGAAAGTAATCCCAATTATAATAGCTATGAATAAAATTAAATACCTAGGAATTAACCAAAGAAGTGAAATATCTCCACAATGAAAACTATAAAACACTGATGAAAGAAATCGAAGAGGACACAAAAAATGGAAAGATATTCCATGTTCATGGATTGAAATAATCAATATTGTTAAAACATCCATATTACCTAAAGTAATCTACAGATTCAATGCAATCTCTATCAAAATACTAAGGACATTCTTCACAGAAATTTAAAAAAAAAATCCTAAAACTTATATGGAACCACAAAAGACACAGAATAACCAAAGCTATTCTGAGGAAAAATTACAAAACTGGAGGAATCACATTACTTAACTTCAAAATATACGACAAAGCTCTAGTAACCAAAATAGTACAGTATTGGGCAAAAACAGACACACAGATCAGTGGAACAGAATAGAGAACCCAGGAACAAATCCACACATCAACAGTGAACTCATTTTCAACAAAAGTGCCAAGAACATACACTGGGGGAAAGACAATCTCTTCAAAAAATGGTGCTGGGAAAACTGGATATCCATATAAAGAAGAATGAAACTAGACCCCTATCTCTCACCATATTAAAAAAAATCAAATCAAAATGAACTACAGACTTAAATTAAGGTCTCACAATATGAAACTACTGAAAGAAAACACTGGAGAAACTTGCCAGGACACTGGAGTTAGCAAATAATTCTTTAGTAATACCCCATAGGCACAGGCAACCAAGCAAAAATAGACAAATGGGATCACATCAAGTTAAAAGTTTTTTGCACAGTAAAGGAAACAATCAACAAAGTGAAGAGACAACCCACAGAATGGGAGAAAATATCTGTCAGCTGTCCATCTGACAAGGTATTAATAACCAGGATATATAAGGAGCTCAAACAACTCTACGGGGAAAAAACCTAATAATCTGATTAAGAAATGGGCAAAGATCTGAATAGACATTTCTAAAAAGATGACATATGAATGGCAAACAGGTATATGAAAAAGTGCTCAACACTAAAGTCAGAAAAATTCAAATCAAAACTACAATAAGATATTATCTGTCCCCAGTTAAAATGGCTTTTACCTAAAAAGCTGGTAAGGATGTGGAGAAAAGGGCATCATTGTACACTGTTGGTGGGAATGTAAATTAGTACAAGACCACGGTATGGAAAACAGTTCACAGGTTCCTCAAAAAACTAAAAACAGAATTATCATATGATTCAGCAGTCCTATGGCTTGGGATATACTCAAAAGAAAGGAAATCGGTAAATTAAGGAGATATTTGCACTCCCATGTTTACTGTAGTACTATTCACAATAGCCAAGATTTGGAAGCAACCTGAGTGTCCATCAAAAGACAAATAAAGACAATGTGGTACATATACACAATGGAGTATTATTCAGCCATAAAAAAGGATGAGGGCCTATCTTTTGCAACAACATGGATGGAACTGGAAGTAATTAAGGGAAATAAGCCAGACACAGAAGACAAACTTCACCTGTTCTCACTTGTTTGTGGGAGTTAAAAATTAAAACAACTGAACTTGTGGAGACAGAGAGTAAAAGGATGATGACCAGAGGCTTGGAAGGGTAGTTGGGGGGAATGATGGTTAATGAGCACAAAAATATAGCTATATAGAATAAGATGTAGTATTTGGTAGCACAACAAGGTGACTGCAGTCAACAATTATTACATATTTAAAACTGACTGGAAGAGTATAATTGGATTGGTTGTAACGCAAAGAAAGGATAGATGCTTGAGATGATGGATACCCCATTTACCCCCATGTGATAATTAAACATTGCATGCCTGTATCAAAATATCTCATGTACCCCATAAATACAAACAACTACTATGTACCCACAAACATTTTTTGTAAAGAAGATATGACAAAGAAAAAATAATTTTTGTTATTTAGAGATCTGCTAATCTATCTTAATAAAACAGATGAAGGATATACACCATGAAGAAAGGGTGTGATGGTTAATTTTATTTGTAAACCTGACTGGGCCCAAATATTCACTTAAGTATTATTCATGGGTGTTCTGGTGAAGGCGTTTCTGGATGAGATTAACATTTGAATCAGTAGACTGAATAAAGCAGATTTCCCTCCCTAATGTGAGCGGGCCTCATCCAATCTGTTGAAGTTCTGAATAGAATAGAAAGCTAACACAATATTTTTTTCTGTCTTCAAGCCTGACTGTCTTTGAGCTAGGACACTGGTCTTCTGTTGCCTTTTTTTTTTTTTTTTTTTTTTGGACTGGAACTTACACCATCAGCTCTCCTGGGTCTGAATTTCTCAGCCTACAAAATCACATGGTCTAATTCTGTATACTAAATTTCTTTACCGTCATCCCTATCCCCCTACCAAAATACACACACATCCTATTGATCTGTTTCTCTGGAGAACTCTGAATACTACTGAGGATGTGAGGGGCATGCATAATTAACTCACAAAGCCAGTAAGTCTTCATTTGGATTTTGACAGAAGAACAGGAAATTGATTCATGAAAAGAGAGGGAAGAAGGGTAACCTAAGTGGGGAAATAGTTTACTCAAAAAATTGTGTGCATTTGGATGTTGTGTGGAACTACATAAGAAACAGGGTACTGGAGGAAGATTCTATGTCTGGGCAAGTGGAGGAAGAACTAAATAATCAACCTGATATGAAAGCACTAATTGTGCACTGATTTAACACTGAGGCTCACTCAGACAATGGGGATAAACAGAGTAATGGGAACCTGGCCATGTACTCAAGGAGTCCATCGTCTAAATAGCTGTAACTGCCTACCAGGCTTGTAGGTGATAAAAATAAGTTTCATATATTCTTGCTCAATAAATATGCAAGCCAAACATCATACTTGCAACATATAAGACAAATATTTTGCCAAAAAAATGCATATCAAAAATTACTATGTACCAAGGTACCTGAATTGTAGATGGAAGGTCAAGTGAGGTGAATGAGTGAGTCCTGGAGCAAGGTGTGATGGAGCAAGGTAGACAAGCAAGAGCTTCATCCTGTGAGTAAGTGTGCTTGATGCCTTGATTTATTTTGAACCAAAATGAACAGGTCACAGGCTACATGGCACAGTTGGGTTACTCGAATGTTTTAGATTTCTAAAATTATTACTAGCATAAGCTATGGCTCAAAGGCCACAGAGCACTGCTTAACATTAAGTTCAAGGTTAATGTTACTTGCTTCATGAAAGAGCACAGAAATGTGTTGCAGGGCTACAGACTGGGCTGAAAAGAACCTTCTGACTTTCAAAGGTGGTAACTGTGTTTTCAGGCTTTGGAGCAGAATGCTCAGATTTGAGGATGAAGATTAAAATCTTTATGATACCATCCTTTTTGGTTTTCCTGTGTGTTACATAGCCATGGCTTTCACTGAAATAACATTTTCTGTTAGAATCCACTGGCATTTCTTTCCTGCTGATGGCTGGAAAAATATTTATCTTTATACATACATGAGCATATTTAAATCCCCTCCAATGTGTTGTTTGACTACTCGGTTTATTTCAGTTTTTATTGAAATAACTGTCCACTTGTACTATGGCTATCTTTATAAAAACATATGTAAATGTATTCTGTTTTGACAGGGCTTTTTAAAGTGCATTTGCTTTAGTTATTCACACTGGGTGGAATGTAGCCACATTAATCATTTTTCAAATTTTCTGTGTGTGATTGCCTGCCATGAACACTGATGCCAGCACATTTCTTTTTAGCTACTTTTTTCGGGGTTAGAGGAATATTGCTACATCTTCAGAACTGATGATTTCCTACAAGATTGTAATATATCATATATCACATTCGCAAGATAAAAGCTATGCCCATAGTTTAAAATCACTTAAAATATATGTGTAAAGAGAAATGCTTAATTGATTTTCCAAATCATTTTCCTGTAAAGTTGAACTGCTTCTTAAAAACCTTAGCTGTTTTTTATACTACTATATACAATACCTATCAAGGATTTAAAATTCCAGTTATACTCAGTATTAGCAAGGTCATTCTTATGCACCATTGGTAGAAATACAAATTAGTGTACTTTTGTCTACAGGGCAGTTAAGAGTTAATAAGCAATATACATAATGAACATTAAAGATGAGAAAAACCTTGAACCTGGAAATTTCACTTACGAGAATTCATCCTGGTTATGATATTCATCTTAATACAGTTGATAGTTGCAAAAAATCTTTAGAATAATATGATTACTAATAATAGGAGACTAAAATAAATTATGGCATATCCACGTAAGGGAATTCTATGTAGCCATTAAAAAGGGTGGTTAGGTATGGACTCAGTGACTTAAAAAGGTGGTCCCGATACAATCATCTCTCTGTAATAGCATTTGTTTTAATGTTATATACATATGTCTGTTTGTATATACACATGGAAAAAATTTAGAAGAATGGATCTTAACATGGTTTCTGTTGAGAGGTTATTTTCTTGTTTAAATGTTCTAATTTTTACATAATACATTTTTTATAGTTATATATACACACACACACCCATGCACAAACACACATATATGCACTACAGAAGCTTCTTTTCCAGCTGTCTTGCCTCTAGGCATATGGACTTTGAACCAACCTAGTAGAAAGGGCCCATAGTGGGGGCAGGGAATCTGATGGCCCCATCCCTAATAAACCTGATCTGCCTAGTTCCACTGTCCCCTAACACAGCAGCAAGGATCCTGCTCACCAGACTGTCCTGGATGCAGGGAGTCTCCACCAGCCTCCGGACTCCATTCTCCACAGTGACTCCCAGCCAGTTGAGCGCTGCCCAGCACCAGAGGTAGTCGTAGCCGCCATGCCAGTAGCTCACAAATGCAAATGTCATCGCCGTGGAAAACAGTGTCCCCAGCAGGCCATGCTGGGACCCGCCCACTGGAATGTACACATACCTAGAGAAAGAAGAGGCTGTTAGGAGACATACAGAGGGCTGCCCTGCAACTCTATCTGCTCCCCAGCTTGACTATCCTGTCACATACTGCTGTTCACATATGCAGATCCTTCCTCACTTCCAAGAGGCCAGATTCCTTGGATTCTCCATCCCACAAGGAGTTGGCGAAAACCCAAGCCTTAGCTCTGCAGGGTGTTAGGTTAAATGAACACACAGGCTCAAGAGCTCTCATTACTAGAGCAAAATAGCACTTACAAGAGGCAGGGCAAGAAGTCATGAATTTAGAGTTTCTGAAAGGGATGGGCCCAACCCTGGAAATCCAATCACAGAATGGCAGTTAAGCTTCTGGCTACATGAGGCCAGCAACCTTCAAGGCAGGTGATATGGTTTGGCTGTGACCCCACCCAAATCTCATCTTGAATTGTAGCTCCCATAATCCCCACGTGTCATGGGAGGGACCCAGCGCGAGGTAATTGAATCATGGGGGTGGGTTTTTCCTATGCTGTTCTCATGATAGCGAATAAGTCTCACACGAGATCTGATGGTTGTATAAAGGGCAGTTCCCCTGCACATGCTCTCCGGCCTGGCGCCATGTAAGATGTGCCTTTGCTTCTCCTTCACCTTCTGCCATGATTGTGAGGCCTCCCCAGCCATGTGGAAATGTGAATCCATTAAAGTGTTTTTTCTTTATAAATTACCCAATCTTGGGTATTTCTTCATAGCAGTATGAAAATGGACTAATACAGCAAGTGTGGATTTTACAGCTCAAACTATTAAGTTTATGGTAAACCCATTATTTAAATGCAATTGGTAAGATCACGTTCCTAAACAGGCAGGAGCTGGGTGCAGCAGATGGGTGCCAGAGACGGTTCCCCAGCTTTCTAGGCAGGTTGCCCAGAAGCAGTCGTGAATTCACAATAAAGAAAAGAGCTCTGTGCTCACAGGGCAGCCAAAGTACCAGACAAAATGCATAGCTGTCCCCTGGGTATGTTCTCCATTGCTGAGACAGCTGCCTGAGTACGTAGAGACAGTACTATGTTCTTCAATCAGTAATTTCCTGCTTGAGTTGGACAAAACTCACACCTTGAGCTGTTAGGACCTGGAAAGCTAGGAGCATACCCTTCTTGCAATAGCCTTTTTAAAAAGCCCATAGGCCTTTATTGCTGATCAGTGCTTCTTTGTCCAACCTTCCTCCAGGAAGGAAAATGAAAAAATCCTTTTCTGAATACACAGTATGTTCCAAGTACTAGACACTTACATGTACCACTTTGATTCTTTAAAGCACCATATGTATAGTTTATACCTACTGCCCCAGCATTTTAAACAATTTAGCATTTGTCCTGTTTATATATTAATTTAGGGGAGGAGATCAAACTTGTTTTTGAAGAGGAAATAAAATTGTTTTTAGAGAGGAAATTGTTCTATTCAAAATGTTTTCAACAGGACTATTTTATTTTTAGAGATAGCATCTCTAGATGTTACCCAGGCAGGAGTAGAGTGGTGCAGTCACAGCTTACCACAACCTCAAACTCCTGAACTCAGATAATCCTCCCACTTTAGCCCCCCAAGTAACTGGGACTACAGGCATGCACCACCACACCCAGCTAATTTAAAACTTTTTTTGTAGAGATGATATAAAAGTTGCCTAGGCTGGTCTTGAACTCCTAGCCTCAAGTGAACCTCCTGTCTCAGCCTCCCAAGTGCAAGGATTACAGGTATGAGTCACTATACCTGGCTTAATAGAACAACTGTATAGGTAGGCAGGCTAAAAATAAAAACAACTTATCAGGCAATAAATCTTTTAAAAGACTCTATGATAAAACTGTGCCACTGGACAAAGACTCTCTCCTTGACTAAACTTTAGTCAAGCTCCTCTAAGCTCTCTAGGCCTCAACCTTGGTGTCCATCTTTATTGTAGCAAGAATCCTGCTAAGTCAGTTTAGAACGAACCCCCCACCTGCAATATCTGATCATGCTCCATCATCTGGCCAAATTCTTCATCACCTACTCTTGGTGTCTGATCACCCTGGCTGCCTTCAGGAGGAATCCTGTTAGGTCTGTTTAGCCAGAATCCTCCTATTTCCCAATGTTTCCTCTTAATATTCCACTCAATGACCCCCACCTTGCTCCTTGGCTATATCCCCCTTATCCAAGCTGTATTCAGAATTAAGCCTAGTTCTGGCTGGGTGCAGTGGCTCTTGCCTGTAATCCCAGCACTTTGAGAGGCTGAGGCGGGTGGATCACCTGAGGTCAGGAGTTCGAGACCAGCCTGGCTAACATGGCAAAACCCTGTCTCGACCAAAAATACAAAAATCAGCCAGTCATGGTGGTGTGGGCCTGTAGTCCCAGCTACTTGGAAGGCTGAGGCAGAAGAATCATTTGAACCCGGGAGGAGGAGGTGGAGGTTGCAGTGAGCTGAAAACATGCCACTGCACTCCAGCCTGGGTGACAGAGCAAGACTCCGTCTCAAAAAAAAGAGTCCAGTTCCATACTGAGGTCTCTTTTCCCCTATTACAACAGTTCCCAAATAATTTTTTTTTTACTGCTTCAACTACTACCTATCTCTGGTTTTTCTTTAACATCCTCCACTCTCAAATGTGTTCCAGTTTCCAGTTTAGATAATAAATTATTTGATCACCTTAGATAATCCCATTTTATGGGTGAGGAAACTGAGGTTGAGAAATTAATTTGCCCAAGGTACACAGCTGGGAAGGAGAAAGACAAAGATGCAAATCTGCATCTGTACAGCCAACTTACTGCTTCCATTACAACCCTGGGCTAATTTTTAAAGTCCTCTATATTTCACCCCAATCAGGAACAATTAAACTTGAAGGCATGTGAGAATGTAGCAGTTTCAGAAATAAGTAAAGCAAAGCCAATACTTTCCTTTGTGCAAAAACAGGACCATCTTGACAATCAAATTAGCAAATAGGCATCAAGCACTCACTACAGATTAATGGATATTCCACCTGCTGTTGAGCATGTCTTTAGGCCTTCAGGGAATTCCTGGCATTATGGGAAACAGACATGACTTTGTTCTTGCTATAAGGATGGGCAAACCTGCTTGTGAAACAATAGCAAACAATTCCCATCATTAAGCTATGTGACATGGTACAAAGTAGACCACAAAGGTTCCAGAGTGCAGGGGAGAAGGGTGTGAGTGAAGACAGTGGGGCAAAGGAGGCTGAAGGGCGAAGGCTCTCATTCTGACAAGGCCAAGAGGATGAGTTTTGCTAGGCAAAGAGAAGGTTGGGCACTGAGCCAAGGACACAAACGAGGGGTTGGATGACAAGTCAGAAAAGCCTGACAGCCCAGGGCACAGTAGTCTTATCCGGTGTTCTGCTGCCCCCCAGAGGCTGCTTGGTCATTGGTGTAGAATACTCAGCAGAGGCAAAAAATGGGCCACAATTCACTGCCTCCTACCTGCATGGAGGTAACTGCTGGCCCATCATGAGGCTGCCCTTAACTTTACGTAACCAGTGTTGTATGTAAAAATAAAATAGGGTAATCAAACCTATTGCAAAAGGATGAAGAACGACTTCTCTTTAAGGAAACTGTACAGATGGCTGTTTTATAAAACAGATTATCAAATGCTCTCTTCACCCAAGAGAAGAGATTTTTTTTTTAATCTTATCTCACTATATAAAAGTGAGCTGCAGCTGGGGACAGTGGCTCACGCCTGTAATCCCAGCACTTTGGGAAGCCGAGGCTGGGGGGTCACTTGAGGTCAGGAGTTCGAGACCAGCCTGGCCAACGTGGTGAACCCTGTCTCTACTAAAAATACAAAAATTAGCCAGGCGTGGTGGTGCACACCTGTAGTCTCAGCTACTCGGGAGGCTTAGCCCGGGAATTGCTTGAACCTGGGAGGCGGAGGTTGCAGTAAGTACCACTGCCCTCCAGCCTGGGCAACAGAGTGAGACTCCATCACAAAAAAAAAAAAAAAAAAAAAAATTAGCTGCACTGTATATGTCAGAAAACCATAGCACACAAACCTCTCATTCTCCACACCAATGGTACTTGATCTTAGATTCAACTCCAAGGAGGACATGTTTTCAAGCTTGTGATCAGGAAGCATCTAGCCCCAAAATTACATGCCCAGCTATTTTGGGCATCTCCTGGAACCATGGCTGTTACTTTGCCTTCAAAATGACAGCCAACAAAAATCTCTGAAAATTCCTTTTATTCCAGAAATTCATATATGGCAGGTCTCCAAGGACATGAGGCTGTTTGTCTCAAACCAGAAGAGGGTATAGCTTCAAGACTGGAAGATAAAAATCCCTTCTTTATTCCTAATTTATAGAAGACAGTACGTGTGGTAAAAAGGAGAGCAAACAGGTTATTTTCTTTTACAAATTCTACCATCTTCTGTCAGTTCCATGATTAATAAAAACAGAAACATGTCTCTTTTTTTAGAAAAGCAATAGTATGAAACTGCTTACTAAGATTTGCTGCACAATAAATTGATTTCCCAATGGAAGAAAGCAATCAGCACCACCTTCTCAGCAAAGCAAAACTAAAAAGATTGCTTCTCGTCAGTGACTATGTCAGGTTGAGTCTTCACGAAGCCTGCCTCTGCCTGGCCGGCTTCGCGTGGTCACTGCTTACAGAAAATGCTGCAGCCACCTTCTTAATTTAAAAGCATCTCACTGAATCAATGCACCACAGCAAACCCCCAACTCAGGAGGAGGAATCTATATAAATAGTAGACAGTATTGATGACTTCTACCCTTTACTGAGTGCCCATGCACCAGGTGCTTTATGCATACTATTTCTAATCATTAAAACAACCCTCCAAGGAAATAACTAGGCCTATTTTATATAGGAGAGGTAAAATCTGCTCCTAGAATGTTGTAGTTCCAGAAACCCCAGGGCTGGGTGCTTTCACTGATATATTTCTCGTTTAACCAAATCTTCAAAACAGTCTCCACAGAAACATCCACTGATGTTTTATTAACTGAAAAATGTCCTTTCTAGGAAAGAATTCTTGCTCAAGAGAATAATGATTACAATTTACAAAGGGATTTAAGCCAATGAGCTCTGTTAGCCACTGTTCAGTGTCAGAAGACAAGAGGTATAACTTCCGCTTTTGAACAGACTAAGTAGTTGCCCTCTGTCCCACAAGCAGAGATAACACCTGCTATCTCAACTCCCTGACATCCTGCAGACGTCTGCCTGTGTCAGAAGTGGGGCATAAAAAGTTGGTGGCTAGGGTGATGCTGAGTAGAGGTACACAAAGGGAGAAGAAAATATCTAGCTCCCTCATACCTACTATGAAAAACAACACAAATATACGCCCTACAGTGGGAGACAGGGGTGGTAACAATCCATGTGGTAAACGCATTAATCTTAAAATCGCAACACTTCTTTTTTCCAAGGACCTATACAATAGCTCCTTGGCTTGCTACATTATCACCTAACTCTATGACAGACTAATCCCAGACCCCAACAAAGTATGAAGATGAAGCACCAGACACTGACAGACATGGCTTTTACTACGGTTTCCTGCACTGAGCCGAGGTGGGCTTGCTGGTTTCCTGTAATCACTTACCCATTCCTCGGCCGGGCTGGGGCAGGCAGTTGCTGACATCCTACTCTAGCTCCACCTTAACTTTCCACCCTTATTTCCCTTCTCCCCACTTGGCTTTGGTGACAAATCCTAAAATCCTGAATAAAAGAGGATTTGACAGCTCCGTGCCTTTGGTCATACCATTTTCACATCTAGAAGACACTGCTCCATCCTCCCTGATTTTCCAACACCTACTCAGTCTACAAAATCCAGTTGATTTCCCAACTCCAGGAAGTCTCTTTTGCATTTTCCAACTTGCAATTTAACCCAGGAACCTACTGTGTGTACTGTCTGTTCCACTGATTGAACAGCTTTTTACCAAAATGTGTCTATTATGGGTGTCATTTTAACTCAATTGTAAGATTCATTCAGACAGCACTAGATATGTGATGTGTGTATGTGTATGCGTGTGTATGTTACACAGCTACTAGTCAACAGTACTTAAATACGTAACATAATTTCCATTTACTGCTGATAGCCTCGAATAGCTTTTAAACTTGTTAAAAATTGTCACCATTGTCATGGACCCATTATAAGCAACAGAAATGAAAGGATGATTGATTATAAGGTCCTGTACCAGGTACTGGGAGACTTTGGAAGACACCTATTCCTAAAGAATACAGAGCATTGAAAGATGCTGAAGTTTCTCCACACTTTGTAATCCTAATTACCCTACTAAAGTCAAAAGTATGTGTCACCACACCTCTGGAACTACTCCAACCCTAAGAGATTTACCACCCAAAGTAAAAGTACTAGTCCTTTAAAGAACAGAGCCTTTAGTGGCTAGGAAAGGCAAGACTTTTGTCCATGTTACACTGGTGGTGAGGTGACCTCACCTTGGCTCCATCTGGGCCCTGAGACCAGCCCCTGCTCAGGTTTCTCTTCTCTACAGAGCTGGCTGTGCTGTCCTGAGCCCAGCTCTCATGGGCAGTAGCTCCCCTGACCCAACCCTGGCTCTAGCTTTGGCCTTGGCCCACATTTTAGTGTTCTTTCTCACAGCCAGTGATGACCCTCCAGCCAAATCTCCATCTTCTAGGTAGTTCTCAGAAAGGAAGCTACATATCTACTTATAAAAAGTTTTCACAATCTACCCATCTGACAACGGTCTAATACCCAGAATTTACAAGGAACTTAAATGTATTTATAAGAAAAAAACAAATAATCCCATCAAAAAGTGGGAAAAGGATATGAACAGACACTTCTCAAAAGAAGACATTTATGTGACCAATAAACATATGAAAGAAAGCTCAACATCACTCAGCATCAGAGAAATGCAAATCAAAACCACAGTGAGATACCATCTCACACCAGTCAGAATGGTGATTATTAAAAAGTCAGGAAACAATAGATGCTGATGAGGCTGTGGAGAAAGAGGAATGCTTTCACACTATTGGTGGGAATGTAAATTAGTTCAACCATCGTGGAAGATAGTATGGCAATTCTTCGAGGATCTAGAACCAGAAATACCATTTGACCCAGCAATCTCATTACTGGGTATATAACCAAAGGACTATAAATCATTCTACTATAAAGACACATGCACACATATGTTTTTTGCAGCACTATTCACAATAGCAAAGACTTGGAACCAACCCAAATGCCCATCAATGATAGACTGGATGAAGAAAATGTGTGGAATACTATGCAGACATATAAAGGAATGAGATCATGTCCTTTGCAGGGACATGGATGAAGCTGGAAACCATCATCCTCAGCAAACTAACACAGGAACAGAAAACCAAACACCGCATGTTCTCACTCATAAGTGGGAATTGAACAATGAGACACGTGGATACAGACAGGGGAACAACACACACCAGGGCCTGCTGGGGGGTGGGGGGTGGGGGGAGGGAACTTAGAGGACAGGTCAATAGGTGCAGCAAACCACCATGGCACACGTATACCTATGTAACAAACCTGCACGTTCTGTACACGTATCCCCCCTTTTTTTTTTTAAAGAAAGAAAAGTTTTCAAAGGAAGATGTACACAAAAAGGAATATAATTTGCTTTTAATATTTTTCTGTCCAGTAGAGATAATAACAGCATTTTAACAAGTAATAACCAGCAGTTGGTTAATGGGCAACCACAGGCTTTGTCATCCTCCATAAGGCTAAGAGGAGTCTATTTTCAAAGCAGGGAAAATATTTTGAGCTGGGCTAATTCTCAGCTCCTTTACTAAAAGATGCTGTACATAAGCTTCATATGCAATTCTGAAAATTATCTATTAAAAATTCTATGCCCTCTTTGGCAACAGAACATTGTAGGGTTTATAAAACAGAAATTAAATTCAAGCTATATTTAGCCTACACTTCAACTTCTAGGTAAATGTAATTAGATGCCAACATTTAAATAATCTTTCTTTTCGCTCCATGAAGCTGGTAGTTCAGTGAGTTGAAGTATTGTGCTGATGAACCCAAGCTTGTAGCTTCCATCTTAGAGAAAGATTCAACCACAACTTCATAGTTCAAAACCCAAACTCTGGCTTCACAAAAGCTCTATCTTTCTCACAGAAAGAGAGGCTGAGAGAGTCTGAATGGCTCAGTCCAAGCACATTTGCCGCTAGAAAACAGCCCAAGCAGCAACAGTGGCGAAGTATGGGACAAGAAAGAGCGCAGTGCTTGAGAGCTAGAAGATGTGACCTTGGCCCTGCTCTGCCACTCACCAACTTCTGTAACCTCGAACTTGTCAAGTAAACCTGCTCAGCTTAAGTATACATACTTAGTATGCACTAGCAGCACTAAAACCTTCTTTGAGTATGAGGTGCTGTGAAGATCAGATGAGACAATATATAAAGACTCTGGAGATTTTTTTTAAATCATGGCAAGAACACAGTATGAAATCTACACTGCTAACAATTGTTTAAGTATATAATACAGTATCGTTAACTATAGGCACAATGCTAGCCAGTGGATCTCTAGAAATTCTTCATCTTGCATAACTAATATTTTATACCCATTGATTAGCAAGACCCCCTTCCTCTCACCCCCGGCACCTGGCAACCACCATTCTATTCTTCGCTTCTATGAGTTTGACTATTTTTTAACCTTTAAGTTTAGGGGTACATGTGCTGGTTGTTATATAGGTAAACTCATGTCACAGGGGTTTGTTATACAGATAATTTCATCACCTATGTATTAAGCCTAGTATCCATTAGTTATTTTTCCTGATTCTCTCCCTCCTCCCACCCTCCATCTCCCGTGTCTGTCATTCCCCTCTGTGTGTCCATGTGTCCTTATCTTTTAGCTCCCACTTATAAGTGAGAACATGCAGTGTGTGGTTTTCCGTTTCTGCTAAAGATAATGGCCTCCAGCTCCATCCATGTTCTTGCAAAGGACATGATCTCATTGTTTTCCATGGCTGCGCAGTATTCCATGGTGGATATGTACCACATTTTCTTTATCCAATCTGCCATTGATGGGCTTTTAGGTTGATTCCATGTCTTTGCTATTGTGAATAGTGCTACAGTAAACATCTACATACATGTGGAGTTTGACTATTTTTAGATCCCTCATATAAGTGAAATCATACAGTATTTCTCTTTCTGTTATGGGCTTATTTCGCCTTCATAGCCTTATGTATATAACTGGAATCATACAGTATTTGTCCTTCTGTTACAGGCTTATCTCACTGAATAGAATATTCTCCATGTTCATTCACGATGTTGCAACTGGCAGGAATTTCTTCTTTTTTGAGGCTGAATAATATTACATTGTATGTATATACCACATTTTCTTTATCAATTCATGTATCAATAGATATTTAGGTTATTTCTGTATCTTGGCTGTTGTGAATAATGCTGAAATGAATATGGAAATATAGATACCTCTTCTAGATACTGATTTCAATTATTTTGTATACTCAGAAGTGTGATCACTGAATCACATAGTAGCTCTTTTTTATTTTTTTAAGGAATCTCCATACTGTTTTCCATAGTGGCTGTACCAACAATGTACAAGAGTTCTATTTTTCCACATCCTCACCAACATCTGTTATCTTTTTTTTCTAGAAAATAATAGCCATCCTAACACATATGAAGTGATATCTCATTGTGATTTTGATTTTCATTTCCATGATGACTGGTGATATTGAGCATCTTTTCACATATATCTTGAAACATACAACCTACCAAGAATGAATCAGGAAAATCTAAACAGACTAATAACAAAGAGAATGAATCAGTAATTAAAAACCTCACAACAAAGAAAAGTCCAGGACCTGATGTCTTCACTGGTGGATTCTACCAAAAATTTAAATAAAAAGTAACACCAATCCTTCTCCAACTCATCAAAAGAACTGAAGAAAAAGAACACTTCCAAACTCATTTTATGAGGCCATCATTACCCTATACCAAAGCCAGACAAAGACATCATTAAAAAATTACAGGCCAACTGGGCGCAGTGGCTCACATCTGTAACCCCAGAACTTTGAGAGGCTGAGGCAGGCAGATCACATGAGGTCAGGAGTTCAAGACCAGCCTGGCCAACATGGTGAAACCCTGTCTCGACTAAAAATACAAAAATTAGCCCAGCGTGGTGGTGCATGCCTGTAATCCCACTATTTGTAAGACTGAGACAGGAGAATTGCTTGAACTCAGGAGGCAAGGTTGCAGTGAGCTGAGATTGCACTACTGTACTCCAGCCTGGGTGACAGAGTGAGACTCCATTTCGAAAAAAAAAAAAAAAAAAAAAAAAAAATCCTACAGGCCAATATCCCTAATGCACATAGATGCAAGAACATTCAACAAAATACTAGCAAACCAAATTCAACAGTACGTTGAAAGAATCGTTCGTCATGTTTAACTGGGATCTACCCCTAAGGTGCAAGGATGTCTCAACTTACACAAATCAATTAGCATGATACATCACATTAACAGAATGAAGGACAAAAGCCTTCGTTATCATCTTAACACATGGAGAAAAAGCATTTGGCAAAATTAAACAAACTTTTATGATAAAAACTCCCAACACACTAGGTACGGAATGAATTTATTTCAATACAATAAAGTCCATATATGACAAGCCACAGCTAACATGTTTGACATTGAAAAACTGAAAGTCTTTTTGCTAAGATCAGAAACAAGCAAGAATGCCCACTCTCACCACATCTTTTCAACATAGTATTGGAAATACTAGCCAGAGTAATCAGACAAGAAAAATAAATAAAAGGCATATGAACTGGAAAGGAAGAAATAACATTATGTCTGTTTATAGATGACATGATCTTATACGTAAAAAACCCTAAAGACTGCAAAAAAAAAACCCGTTAAACAAATTCAGTAAAATCAGAGGATACAAAAGTAACATAAAAATCAGTTGCTTTCCTGTAAACAATAAATGATCCAAAAAGAAAATTAAGAAAAAATATCATTTTTAAAAGAACAACAAAAAAGAATAAAATAGAATGACAAAGAATAAAATACTTAGGAATAAATTTAGCCAAGAAGGCCAAAGATTTGTACATTGAAAACCATAAAACATTGATGAAAGAAAGTAAACACACCAAAAAATGGAAAGATATGCTGTGCCCATGGATAGTGCTTTGGAGATTTTAACACTGCATACACATGAAAGGTTTATACTTACTAATAATGGGCCAGCAGCAGCATACTTCATTCAAGGAAAATCACATTAAGTGTTCTTTTTTTCTTTTTTTCAATGTTATTATTATTATACTTTAAGTTTTAGGGTACATGTGCACAACGTGCAGGTTTGTTACATATGTAAACATACGTCATGTTGGTGTGCTGCACTCATTAACTCGTCATTTAGCATTAGGTATATCTCCTAATGCTATCCCTCCCCCCTCCCCCGACCCCACAACAGTCCCCGGTGTGTGATGTTCCCCTTCCTGTGTCCATGTGTTCTCATTATGTTAAGTGTTCTTAACACGCACACGCACACACCCCAAAGGGGTACAGGGAAACTTTTGGAGGTAATGGATATGCTTATTACTTTATGTTGATGGTTTCATGGGTGCATGCATATGTCCAAACTCATCAAATTGTACACATTAATATGTGCAGTTTTTGTGTATCAGTTACACTCCAATAAAGCTGGGGTTTTAAAAAGCCATTATCATAATGAGTAGCATTCCTATATCTTTCATCAGCATTTGAAGACACCAAGAACACTGAACTGCTTTCTCAGGGATGTTCTTTACTTAAAACCATTAGTCCTAAAAATGTCACCATCAGATCCAGGTCACTTAGTGCTAAGGGGTCAAAGCTATGGATTCAACAGCCACATATACCTGTTGATTATGCTTAATCCAGATGACAGCCAGCTGTTCTCCACACACCTAACACTGGCTGCAGAGAAGCCTACAGAGGGTATGTGGGTGTGTCAGGGTAAGTCAGTACCTACTACACTTCTGTCTATCTCCAACATTTTGCCATCAAATAACTGTCACCCTTCCCCTCAGGTTCCCCCTTTATCTGCCAAGTAGAAAAGTCACCTGACCAAATCCTTTTCTTATAATGAGTTACTGCAGTAACTAACTGTCTAAAGAAAGTCCTTATACAGGTTTACACATTTTATCAGTTTAAGTGATCTAATGATGTCCTGGAAGATCAAAGTTCTGATGACACATGTGTCTTTGTGGTATTACAATCTTCACACCAGAGACTGCAAACAAACAAGCAAAGCAAAGCACCAAAAGCACTTTTTAAGATGTCATGCATCAAAACTAGCTCTCAGTCACAAACAGGGACATGCCAAGGCCCAGGGGAGGTGTACACCAGAAAGGGGTATATACTGTTTCCCTCCCTGGGGTTTCTAACCCTCTTCTTCTGTTTGAGAGCACATTGAAGTCTCAGCATCCCCAGGGCTCCCAGGCCCAGGTCTATTCTGGGTTATAAATAAACACCATATAAAACAGATTCTTTGGAGGTTTGGGCAAAGGAGACACAGTGGGAATTTACACTCTTTAGTGCTGCAGAGCTGAGTCTAATTGCTAATAAAAAGGTCCTTGAAGCCTCAGTTTAATAACCACCAAGATTTTCTGGCTGCCTGCCTGTCTTCCCACCTTTCTCCTAAGACGATGCTGAAAGCATTTATAAGCTTCCCTAGGCCAAAGGAAAAGGTGGGGGCGGGGTAGGGGGTACTAAAAGCCAGAAGTAAAGGGGCCAATAAGGATGTCCATATGAGGAAGGGATGCATGATTTCTCCCACCACAGAGTCAGGAGGAGAAGAGGTAGGGGAAAGAGCCCACCCTCCCTTGCCCCTAAGGCATTTCCCAATCTTTGCTCCATCAGCAGATCCCAAATCCAGGGATCAAAATTACCACCATCTTGGACATACACCTCCTCTAATCAGCATGTGAACTATGGGTTTCTCCTGGATGTTTCCTTTCCATCCCTGCCTCTCACTCACATCCTATTCAGTGCCACTCCTGCCGGTCCTAATCTTCAAACTCATTTATCATGGCTGTTAGGAAAATGTTCACTATAAAATAAACTTGTGCAACTTAAAGGTTACTGTGCTGGTACAATGCCTTGGAGTCTCTAGAAGAAAGTGCTCTGAGGACAAGTGCAATAAAGAAATGCCTAGCTGGTTCCCGAAGCATTTCATCCCTCATCTGGGTTTGTGGTGTAATGCTTTTGTGGCAGCAAAAGCATGGAGAGGGCCTCAGAGGCAGGGCCCATGGCCCATGGCCCTGATAGGTGTATACTCTAGGTTTTCAAAGCAACCCAGTACTGCACACACAAAGTCTGGTCGGTTGGTCAGTCAGCAAAAACAAAAATCAACAGATGACAAGGGTAATATAAAGGAAAAGAAAAGGCAAGTTCTTTGTTGTCAGGAAGCATTTAGTGTAACAAGGGTGGGCAAGTCCCTACCTTCAGGGGGTCCCACTTGCAGTGGATTCCCATTGTGTTATGGCCTAAATTAAACCCATCAGTTTGGCTTCTTCTACGTCATTCTCCAACTGCCTCTTATGCCACTAATTTCATCTTATCAGTCTCCAAAATAGATTCTCCACCCCAGTCATTAACTTCATTCCTGCCCAAACCTGGGCCTTGTAATCATGCCATCCCATCCCCCAGCCACAGAAGGCTCCTGGCCAGTCTTTTCCAACATTTGATCTTTCAAAATGGGTTTAACATTCACTTCCAGGAAAATTTCCCCAGCCAATCTCACCCTTTGATTCTTTACCTCTTTAAGATTCATGCATTCATCTCAATCTAGATGATCTCTTTCAACTTGCTGATATGCTGCTCTTTAGTACTTCCGAGCTACCTCACCAGGCCTGACAGCATGCAGGATTCCTCACCTTACATCAATATCTGCAACACAGAATTATAACATTTCCCTTCTTACTCCACCAGAGTCTAATTTAGACTCCAAATTCAGGAGGATGCTCAATAAATCCTGGCGAATTTCCTTTGTCTCCTGCTCTTTCCTTCATCCCTCTCATTTCCCTGGTTCATCTCTTTTGCCTCTTCTTTTGACTGTCACTCCCTGTAAACAAAAGATGATTCTCCAGCTAGAAACTGTGGCTTCATAAGTGTCATTGTTTATGTCTGCTGCCACTGTGTTCTCCTCTAAAGTGCTGTGGGGTTTGGAGGGAATATTTACAAAGTCAGACTAAATCACAGATACCAACAGGAGATACCCTGAGCAAAAGGGACAGCTGGCGGGGACTGATGGGGGGACACATGCCAATGCCAACCTCTCCTAGAAAGCTGCTGGAACTACCGAAAGAAAAGGGAGATTTAACCACAAAGCAAAACTCCAGGGTTACATGTTTTTAAAATTAAAGTACTCAAGTTGTGATATTTAACATATGGGACCTTAACTTTAAAAGCCTCAAATAAAACCATGGCTGGGCCTGTCAGTATTTGATATCTGCAAGGGGATGGGGTCCAGGAGGCCAACGAGAGTTGGCCTTTGTGCTGGATTACTTGGGTTAACTTTCCCGACAATACCTCTTCCTTAGCCAGGCACATCACTTCAATTCCAGTGTGTTCGAGGGTCACAAAAAGAGTAGCGTGGGGTCAGGACCCTTGAAAAGCACCTTGGAGCACAGAGCAGGGCAGAGCAGATGTAGGGATGAGTGAGTCAGGGTCACAGATTTCAGTGGCAGTCACTTTCCTGGTTTTTGATTTACAACTGGGAACAGCTCAAGGGCTAGGAAAGAACCAGGGAATGAGGCCTCTCGAAAGGTCTATAAAGGTCTCGGAACATTTGGGACATAAGCATAGATGCTCTTGAAGAGTTACAAAATATCACAATAGTGTGCTGTTTGCTACTGGTTTCTATCAAAGCAGAGGGGATCTGTCTTCCCTAATTGGATTTCAGAACACAGAGCTCCTGAAATATTAGCTTATGCTTTTGAGTTCCCCATTTTCCCTACCCCTCTGCTGCCATGAAGTTAACTCTGGTCTTTTAACCAAAATTAAAATGCACAGGCAACTGCAAAATGCACAGGGGAGAGTTTGAGTGGGGGGTCTCACTCTGTTGCCCAAGCTGGAATGTACTGGTGCAATCATGGCTCACTACAGCCTCAAACTCTTGGGCTCAAGGGATCCTCCCACCCCGGCCTTCTGAGTAGCTGGGACCGCGAGTACACACACCATGCCCAGCTACATTTTTTTTTATATATTTTAGAGACCAGGTCTCACTATGTTGCCCAGGCTGGTTTCAAACTCCTGGCCTCAAGCAATCCTCCCACCTTGGCCTCCCAAGTCACTGGGATTACAGGCACGAGCCACAAAACCCAGCCAAAGGAGGTTACTTGTAGGAAGCCTGAGATGAATCTTGACTCAAGGTAACAAACTGTTTCCTAGTAGCACGTTTCTATTGTATCCTGGGCTTTCTTAAATACACACTGGAAATGAAAATGGTCATCTAAGGTGGCCACAGGTGGGTTTCAATACCCAGAAAGGGATAAAAGTGGGAGAAAATGCCAGCACGTATTATATGGGTACCCCTCACAAAACACTGACACTCAAGACTGTCTTCAGGGAGAAGGAAAATAAAGGTCTTTGAAACTGATGTGATTTTCAAAAAATAATCAAAGTGGAATGACTGCTGGTGGTAATGAGGAGGCTGCTCCCTCTCCGGACTGAAATCCGCACTCTGACAAATCAGCTTTGACAGAACAGTTTCAACTGCCTCTCATTTACCATAATTATGATTCACGATCCCTATCAGAGACGGCACCTTTTAAAGTTTGGCACTGGAAAGGAAAACTGATAATGCTTGAGCTTGGGCATGAATGACAATAAATCTGCAGTAGCCAACACAGCCGTGCCAGTGTAACATTTACGGAAACAAAGCAAGACCATCATCCCACGCTCAGGAAACAATGGGCCGGTAAGCATTTTTCTCTTAATGCAGTCAGGGCTGCGGGAATGATGATGCTTATTTGAAAAATCCCATGGTAATTGAGTAAAGTCTTGAGTGCACATTAGAGATTAATATTTTAAGAGCTGGCATTTTACAGATAGAGGCAGTCTAAGGATGACATTAAACGTGTGTCACACAAAGCAGAGTCTTCTGTAGATTAAAAATGCTTCTGTTCATGCAATAAAGTCATAAGAAATCCAAAGATGTCAGCTGTAGATCTGGATATTAATGTAGTGATCCAGGCTAGGAAACAGCCACTTCCCAAGGGTTGGGGAAAGAAGTGCACCGTACTGATGGCATTTCACTTGCTTGGAAGGCTCCCTCTCAAGTGGAGTCAAGATGAGAAAAGAAGTTTCACGGCTCGAAGAGTACTGAGCTTGACTTTACCTTACCCCTGAGAAAGGCAGGCAGAGAAGATGAGTTATTAGTCACTCTCCAGTATAGGCGGCTAATGTTGCTGCAGAGAGAAGCCAGGTCCTGAGTGTGGGGATACAGAGAAGCAGCTGGGTCCAAATGAAAGATGTGCTGTTCCAAGCTCTTCCCACCCACACCATGGTCCTGCCTTCCAAGACCATGACAGGAGAAACTGCAGGCAAGGGGCAGCTGCCAAGCAGAGCCATTTCATGGAGCCAAAGAACAAAGAGATGCCCTCCAAGCGCCCGCATGCCTGTAGAGCCTCATTTACCCAGGCTGCATGTGTTGACTTGAATCTAACGGCCAGTAACCAAATCAGCAGGTCTGGGTCTCCAACATCATTAGCTTTCCTGACAAGAAAGGGAAAGGCATGGAGGAGATGCTATGTATCTGGTTCATGCCCAAAGACAAGGTGAAGGGCAGAAGTAGCTGATCCAGAGCTCGCCATCTTTGCCTTAGGTAGCACAGATCAGACAGTTTATTTTCAGAGGTTAAGAAGCAGACCCTTTTTCAATTCGACGGCCGAGGCCAGGAGATTGGGAGAGCCTCCTTCAAGAGCATTCCCTATTTACCTAAATGAGAAGGCCAGGAGAGAAGGCTGACTGTCCATGCTGCAAAGCACGGGGTTTAAGGTAAAGCTGTGGGCTTTAACACTTACCCCTCTTATGGGGTAAGAATGGGCTGGACTGATCAGGGCAACCAAGCTACTCTTCAGAGTTCACCTGTGGGGCCAATATTCCTAGCCCATCTAGTTAGCACCACTTTCCTGCTGCGTCACCTTATGACTTGACAGCACTGCCTTAAGTGACTTCTCCTGCAGCTCAGTCACTTCAAATCACACTATTATAGCTCCTCAGTGAGGAGCTTGCTTGGAGAATGAAAAGTCTCTATGTTAGAATGTATGCCAAGGGTGACCCCCAACTTTCATCAGCGCAAAGGTCTTTTTAGCCTGATGCCTATCCTTCTGCTCCACTCCACACGCACTCCTGGGTGGTGGGTCTGTGGCTCGCTGTCTTCCTCAGTAGCACCAGCCCCTGGGCACATGGCTGCCTCTGGCACAGCTGCAGAGTCCTCCGTGTTCTTTCCAGCATCTCTCACACCCTCCAGGAGTCCCTAGTTCCCAGGGGCTACACTGTACATTGTCATGCCCAACACCACTCTTAAAGCTTGCACCAGGGTCTCTGCTGAGCCTCACAGGGCTGCACAGCTCTCTAGAGGACCCTCATCCAAAGTCCCCTTGGGAGTAAGACATCTCCCAGGATCATGGTCTGGGCAGGGCATGGGACTTGGCAAAGGACCGAGCCCCCTCCCATGGCTCTGGATGAGCTCAAATACTTCCTAGGGGTGTAATTCCAGAGCAGAATGTGGGCTAGAGATCATTACTCCCTTCTCACAGTGCTAAGGTAAAATGTCTCCCTTTCAGGGTGCAAGTTTCTAGGAACAAAGCACATAAACTCTAATGGTGGCTCAGGGTTGCACCTATATAACCTGGTATCACATAAACTGTATAGTGACTGTCCACTAGAATCAAACCAAGCCTCTCTTGGCTCCCCAATCATTTTTGTGTGTATTTGTGTTTGTGAAAGGAATGTGCCTATAAAAAATAGGCTGAGTACCAACTATAGGCTAGGCATAGGGATAATATAAAGAGGGATTGAAACATCTGTGCTTGCCTGGGGCAGTCAGTCTAGAGGTATATTAAACATCTAAAGGTACAGTTAAAAAAAAACAAATTGAAGCAGAATGAAATAAATGCAGCCTGGAGCTACAGGCAACTTGCATGTGCTGGGGGATGAAGGGGTTGATTCTGAGGGGTGGCTCCCAGGGACAGGTGCATAGAGAAAGCCACATCTGAGATAAAGAAGTGGATATACAAAGCAGGAGATGGTTTGAATTTTGTCTCTACTGGCTACCTGACATCAATCCCAATGTATCGCTAATATCACTGACAACCTCTTGCAAAGTCAGTGTCAGAGGAAAAAGATTATCCTTGCCTTCCTGAATCAAGGAAAAAAATCCTAAAAGTTGACAAATTTAAAAAATGTAATTGTACATTACAATGGAAAATCCAAAAGGTAGACTACAAAAAGACATGTAGGTACATTATAAAGAAATGAAATGAGCCTTTCTCAATGAGTGGAAAACACAAACTCAGATTCTGCTGCTATACGCTTTTTTTTTTTTTTTTTTTTTTTTTTGAGGCAGACTCTGGCTCTGTCGCCCGAGCTGGAGTGCAGTGGCACAATCTCGGCTTACTGCAACCTCCGCCTCCCAGGTTCAAGCGATTCTCCTGCCTCAGCCTCCCGAGTCGCTGGGGTTACAGGTGCCCGCCACTGCACCCGGCTAATTTTTGTATTTTTAGTAGAGATGGGGTTTCGCCATGTTGGCCAGGCTGGTCTCAAACTCCTGACCTCAGGTGATCTGCCCGCTTCGGCCTCCCAAAGTGATGGGATTACAGGCATGAGCCATTGTGCCCGGCCTCTGCTGCTATACTTCTGACACCTCATGTGTGGGGGGTTTCTCCCACATACCAAGCAAGCAAGCAATTCTGGAGTGACATGAGCTAGGTGTCCTCTAACTCAATTTAATTCTGATACTATCTACCTGGAGATAGGGTCAGATCACACAGGTTGGGGACTTGTCCCCACAAAACTGAGCCCCATTTCTGATGCCAATCACAGGCCCCAAGTTGTTTTACCTGTGCTTTTGACCAACTGGGGCAGGAGAACAGGGTCTGGAGGTCAGGAAAATAAAGCTGATTCATGCTGACTTCCTAGAACTAAATCAAATGGAAACACTTCAGCTATGACAGGAAATAGCCTCTCCATTTGCACAGGGCCTACACTGAGTAAATGACTTTGTAACTTTACTTGATCCTGTTCATTTACATAGAGCATAAGCCAAGTAACCAATGGCAACCTCTAGAGGGTATTTAAACCCCAGAAAATTCTCTAACGGGGCTCTTGAGCCCCTATGCTTGGGTATGTTCCCACCCCATAGAGGATACTTTCATTTTCAATAAATCTCAGCTTTTGTTGCTCCATTCTTTCCTTGCTTTGTGCATTTTGCCCAATTCTTTGTTCAAAATGCCAACAACCTGGACACCCTCCATCGGTAACATAACCAGCCATAAATTGAGGCTCCCACGACCCTCCCTCCTTGGGTTTGATTAATTTGCTAGAGCAGCTCATAGGACTCAGGGAAACTTACTTACATCTACCCTAAATTGTTATTATAAAGATTATCACAAAAGATAGAGATGAAGAGATGCATAAAGCAAAATATGGTGGAAGGAGCTCAGAACTTACATGCCCTCCCCGGGTGTACCACCCTCCAAGAGCCTTCACATGTTTAGCTATCTGGAAGTTCATCATTACTCTGTCCTTTCGGACTTCTATGGAGACTTCATTATGTAGGAATGATTGATTAAATAATTGGTGATCAGCTTAACCTTCAGCCACTCTCCCGTTCCCAGAGGTTGAGGGATGGGGCTGAAAGTCCCATCTGTCTCATCAGGCATTGGTCTTTCTAGTGATGAGCCTCATCCTGAAGCTACTAAGGGGCTGCCAGCCACCAGTCAACTCCTTAACATTCAAAAAGACACATAACTTTAGAGATTCCAAGGATTTTAGGAGTTGTATGTCAGGAAACTGGGAGGAAGATCAAATATATATTTCATAATTTCACACTTAACAAGTTACCTGAGAACCAAGGGCACCCAGCTATAAAATCTGGATGTTAGTTGTCCCCCAAGAATAAGGCTGGCTCAGCAAGCAGGTCCCTGGGTATAAGCAAGGCTCTCTCTCCATCTCTATAACCCTAACAGCTGTGACCTATGCTGGGCCACAGCATCTCCATCTAGGACATAAATTTTCTAATCTATGCCCAGCTCACCTCATAGGATTGTACACGATGATCTAAAAAGGCAAAAGGGATGGAAAGGAATGGAGAAATAATGTAAAACAAATGATCACTATACTGACAGTATATAAACAATAGTGTATTAGGGACAATACTGATAATCAGCAAAGGATTTCCATTGAGTTAAATATTTTGATAAATAAAGAAAAGAGATAAATGAAGACTGCTCACTGTGAACCAGGTACTGCGCTGAACATTTTACAGGTATTACTCAATTTATGAAACTACTCTGGGAAATTTCCACCTCCCTTAATTTCCAGATGAGGAAAATAAAGCTCAGAGAGGTTACTTACTTCCCTACCTGAGGAACTGGTCAGTTTGTCCCATGTTGCATCAAAGAGCAGAACTTTTCATCCACTGGTGAAAATTACAGTGATGCACGTTCTCTTTGATCTGAAATGTCTAAGAGTAAGAAAGCTACACAGCTAATGGTGGAGGAGAAACTGAGACTTGGGTTTGTCTGATTTCAAAATGGGCACTATTCTTGATGAAATGGTAGAGTTCCCTGACACCCCTCACAGGATGTGCAACAGGGATGTGCATCCTCTGTTTGGTTGCCACCATTGCTCTAACCCCTTATTGGAGGGGGGGCACAGAGACAGAGATGTGCAGGAGCTGGAGCAAGCATCCCTGGGCTCCAGCCCCATAGAAGCATCAAGGGGTGGGAGGCTGCGACTCCCAAAGCCCAAATGGGCATGTGTTACAGTGCATTCTTTTAGCCTTGCCATCTGTGAATGGCTTAAGTGTTAACCAGCTCAGTGGACCCTCTTCCTTTTTGCAAGGGCAGGGGGCCAGTGTGACAGCTTTCTGTATCCCAAGCTCTTGTCCAGCATCCCTGAAGAACTGGGTCACACACAGACTTGAAGGATGAATGCAGGGGTTTTACTGAGTGGTGGAGGTGGCTCTCAGTGGGATGGATAGGGAGCTGGAAGGGGAATGGAGTGGAAAGATGGTCTTCCCCTGGAGTCTGGCCATCTAGCGGCCGATCTCCCCTCTGATCATCACCAGCTGAACTCCTCTCAGCATTCAGACATTCCTTCTCTTCTCCCCTTCTCTGCCATGCTGTTCTGCCACTCATCAGCTCATCTCTTTGTCTCATCTCCTTGTCTCCTCATCTGCTTCTGGAGCCTGGGGTTTGGGGTTTATATGGGTACAGGATAGGGGTGCGATGGTTGCGAAGGCAACTTTTGGGAACAAAAACAAGAATGCCTGTTCTCATTTAGGGTCATGGGTATCCAGGCTTGAGGATGGGGCCTTTGCTGGGGAACCACCCTCTTCTGCCCAGTATTTCCCTGTCTCCTGTCCACATCATCACTAGACCAAGTTGTTTCCCCATGATTACTACAAATATTGAATATAGATAACCTATATGCTTAACACTAAAAAGACAATGTTTAATATTTTCTAGCTTTTTAATATCTACTGAGCCTCTAGTAAATGTCAATCATCATGTTCTGGGCTTTCCACCCTATTTCGTTTGCTAATTTTTTGGCAACTTTAAGTGTTCAGGGTCATGTTTGTGAACCTAAACCAACATTGTAGCAGCAAAGCATGGCAGATCTAGATAAAGTATCCAACTAACTATGAGGTGATAAAAAAAGTTCAGTGCATTTCTACTCAAATCTGGTAGAAACTCCTGATGACAGCACGAGGTCCAGAGGCCAAGAATGACCCCCTATAGTTGGCACAGAGGACGCTAGAGCTAGAAGGGATCCAAGAGGCCGTCTTGCCCAGAGACCCCTGAGCTACACCCACACCAAGAGCCATCCAGCCTATACCTCCACGCTCTTAGCGGCCAGGAGATCTCAGCTTGTGAAACAGTCTTTCTACTTTTAGACAACTTAGGTTGAAGAAAACATGCTTCCTGGTGCTTTTCACTGCTTGGTCCTGACTCTCCTCTTCAAAGAAACACAGAGCAAATACCAACCCACCAACTGGCAGCCTGCAAAATAGCTGATGAGGGCTTTTGGGTCTCTCCAAAAGCTTGCTTTTGCCTGCTACAGATTCTCAGCTTCTTTGTCCATTCTTTGTGATTCCAAACTCTCTCACTGTCATCGTTTCTGTTTTTTTAGATACTTCCTTGTTTGTGTTCCTCTGGTATTATGGAGCCAGAAATAGAAGGAGAATTCATGGAACGACAGGAATAATGAAGAACAGACTAGGAATGCCACATTGTTTTCCTAACCATATATTTGCATCATCACCAAATATTTTCTAAGCATCTACTACATGCTGATACTGTGCAACACATCAGAGATGTACAGGAACATGCCAGATCAGACTAAGAGCTTACATCCAACCTAATACTGAGGATGCCTGTGGTGACATTTGTTTCAGGGCAGACTTAACTCACAGCAGAGCTTGCATCTACCACTTTTTTCTGAGAAAGTGAAGACCATCATATGAGCACCCTCTCCTTCCCGAACCATATACATCATCTTTATCACCATCGGCACATGTCCATTCACGATTTGTCCCTTCTCCCATAGTTAAAGAGATGTCCTTTCCACGACTAAGGCTAACTCTGCTTGTTAGCTCCATCTCCTTCTGCCTCCTGAGGAACCATGCTTCCCCTTCCCACCTCCCATCTCCAGTATCTCTATCCAACTTATCTGACTGGTTCTTTCCTTAACCTAAAGATGCACTCCAGTCTTTCCCATTTCATAAATGTCTTTCTTTCATCCACAACTTCTTCCAGCCTCAATCCTAATGGCTTTTTTTAAAAGCAGGTATTTAAGGTCCTTGAAAGAGCAGTCTACACACAGTCTCTAAGTGACCCCCCATCCCATTTCTTCCTTAACCTGTTGCAGTCTGACTTCTGCCCCTCCCCTCCCCTCCCCATTCCATCAGCTTTTGTCAAGGTCATCAAAGACCTCCATATTGTCACAGCCAATGGCTACATCTGTGTCTCTCTCTTATTTGTCCTATCTATTACATTGTGCATTGACAGTGCCCTCCACTTTCCTCTTTAGATAATTTCTGCTTTATGTCTTACCACTACTGTACTCCTTACCTTTAGAAGTATTTTTTAAAATCCAGAACTACCAATGACCTTTTTGTGTATGTCCTCTATGACATTTTTCTATAAATACACATAGACACATACTTCTTATAAGAATAGGATGGCATACATTCCACTTCAGGAAACTGTTCTGTTCACCTAATCATGAGCATCCTTCCACATGACTTTCCTTGTTCACATTTTTGCTTCTGTGGCTCCAATGGAGCTCTCTGTTTTCATCTTTAGAGCCACTGCTCCTCATGCTCCCTCTCAGGCTACTTATTCTCTGCCTAGTTCTAAAAGTATCAGCAACCACTCATGGTTCTGTCTCTTAACTTCTACGTGCTCACACTAGGAGACCACATCAGCACATTAACAATATAGTGAAGCCAGGCGCGGTGGCTCATGCCTGTAATCCCAGCACTTTGGGAGGCTGAGGTGGGCGGATCACTTGAGGTCAGGAGTTCCACATCAGCCTGGCCAGCATGGTGAAACCCCATCTCTACTAAAAATACAAAAAAAAAAAAAAATAGTTGGGCATGGTGGTACGTTCCTGTAACCCCAGCTACTCAGGAGGCTGAGGCAGGAGAATCACTTGAACCCAGGAGGCAGAGGTTGCTGTGAGCTGAGATTGCACCACTGCACTCCAGCCTGGATGACAGAATGAGACTCCATCTCAAAACAAACAAACAAACAAACAAAAACAATGTAGTATGAGTTCATCTATCACCTTAACCAGCTAGTCAACCACTCACTGAGGCTAATAATACACTGATGCTAACATACAGTACATGCTCAAGAAATATCTTCCAAATGAATTGGAAGGCAAGGAGGAAGAGAAAAGAGCTGAAGTGAGGGGTACACCCTGGAGGAGGCCAGCCCAAGTAACTTGGCATGGTGAAGACCCAATATGAGGTTATGGAACAGAATAACAATGGGCTGAGGGGAAAATATCAGAGAAGTATCAAAACCAAGTTCTCTCCTTCACACCTATGCTGAGAGTTGGATCTGTCATACAGTTGCTGAGAGCACCACTGAATAGATAAGAAGTGGTTCCCAACTCCCTGCTCTCCCATGATCAGCCTCCAGGAATCACTGTGCAAGAGTGCCCTTGTGAAGGGGATCTGAAGAGGCTCTCCCTGGACTTCACTCCACCGCAATGTTGAAGAACCCTCCCCATCGTGCTTTCCACCCACTATCCCATAAACTGCCTTCCACCCCACTCTACTCTGATTTCACCTTTAGGCTCCTTCTGGAAGCCATCTCAGATTAACATCATCCATCTTCCAAACCCAAATTATGATCCCCGGCCCCTAACATGATCTTTTCTGCTATTTCTAAATTCTTACAGTTTGGATAATTATACAGTTGCTCAGCTGCTTCATTTTCTTAGCTATATTTGGACCCCACAGGGCTGAGACCTCATCTGTTCCAGAATCTATATCCCACATGCCCAGTACCCTTCTGTATTCCCTCTAGGTACTTACCACAGGCGGAATCACTTGACCCAGAAGCATTAAAACCAAGGAGAGGCCTCAAAGTATAGTGGTTAAGGCATGGATTCACCCTTGGATTCTAATCCTACCTTCACTTACAAGTTGCGAGGCTCCGAGCCAAGTTTATCCGTTCTGAGCCTCAGGCTCCTGATCCTTAGTGGAGGCAATAAAACCCACCTTTGTAGGGACATGGATGAAGCTGGAAACCATCATTTTCAGCAAACTATCGCAAGGACAAAAAAACCAAACACCGCATGTTCTCACTCATAGGTGGGAATTGAACAATGAGAACACATGGACACAGGAAGGGGAACATCACACACTGGGGCCTGTTGTGGGGTGGGGGGAGGGGGGAGGGATAGCATTTGGAAATATACCTAATGTTAAATGACGAGTTACTGGATGTAGCACACCAACATGGCACGTGTATACATATGTAACTAACCTGCACATTGTGCACATGTACTCTAAAACTTAAAGTATAATAAAAAAAAAAGAAAAGAAAAAAACCCACCACAGGAATATCATAAAGCTTAACCAAGACATTGAACACAAAGAGCTCAAAACATGCCTGGCATACAGCAAGCGCTCAGTAGATGTTGGATGTTAGCTGTGACAAAGACTCACCTCAGCAGAAAGAAACATCTCAAAGAAGCAAAAGGAAAGAGCAAGCAAGGAGCCCCGCTCCTCTCTCCAAATCATGAATGGCCTCAGGACATCTGCAGCAAATTCAAAATTCTTTACCCACCCCCCACCCCTTGGCCCTTGGTGATTGGATTGAAAAGACTTTCTGGTAAATACTCTTTTCTTCATGAGTGTGATATTCCTTAATGTGTTGTTTAAGTGGAAGCCCCCAACGTCAACGATGCAGATTAGAAAAATATATATCCTTTCCAACTACCTTCTCTAATTAGTGCTTGATTTGTGCTGCTAATATTGTTTACACTAAAGGGTGCTCTTGAAACAGCAGTCAACTCTCTATCTCCTAAGTGTTCAACAGCTACTTAAAACTGAGCTGGTTTATTGAATGATATCTATAAGTTGTAATCTCATAATTAAGGTTTCATCAGTGCCCATGACACCAGTGCTCTGTAGTGGTTGATACAACAGGGTGTAAGTTTACATTGTATTTGTTTAGTCTCCATCATATTCATCCATTCATTTAACTCAACATCTACTATGAGCAGCCACTATGCACTGGAAGGAGTTAGTAAGTGACTATCAGGTGTCAGGCACTGTGCTGGACACATTGAGGAAAATGAAGATGCCAGAGACACAGTCCCCACCTTCAGGGAGTGTATCCTCAGCCTGACAGACAAAACAAACATTGAGAGTGACAGCCAGAAGAATTGATTTTAAATGTTCTCACCACAAAAAAATGATAAGTACGTGGAGGCAACAAATATGTTAATTACTTTGACAATTACTTCACAATGTGTACATATATCAAAACATCACATTATACCCCATAAATATATACAATTATTATTTGTCAATTAGAAATAAAATAAATGCAGAAAAAAGAGAAAATGACAGCAGTTTAAGGTAATGTGAGTAGCATACAGAGCAGCAGTAAAACAAGGGTAAGAATGAACACTTACTGAGCACCTTCTAGGCACCAGGCAGATGGCTGGGCACTTGCCACACGTAAACCTATGATATGAGGTAGAAAACCCCCATTTTCCAGATGAGGAAACAGATTTAGACTCACATCTATCTCTGAAAGTGGCATCCTGTCACCATGCCGTGCTAACTCTCTTTGCCCAACCTCTTCATTTAGACCTATTTATACATTTAGACTTATTTATACAACATTTATGCAAAATGAGGTGCAGAATGGTTAAGTACCCTGCTCATATTTAAACACTATGAATAGATTTATTTTCAAAAGTTCTCAGACTTTTAATCCTACAGACTCTTTATGATGAAACCAAAGGGCCTTCCCTCTGTCCAAACAAGTGGCCCAAGATCACCTCGAGGCCATGATGAAGGTCAAGGGTACAGGCCAGTGAAGAAATCACCTAGTTCTATGGGACTTACCCCACACCTCAGCTAGAAACTGGAACGGGGCAAAGGATTCTGTTTTAAACCTGGAAAGGAGATGACCATTTTCACCACATCTTCCTCTTCTTTCTTTGAGAAAAGATGTATCAAAGAACCTCATAGATACTGGCCTCAGTGATCATTAGCTTCCTTCACTCTCCATGGTCAGTGCAGCTCAGGACTTGACATTTCTTAATCTGAAAGGTCTTTAAAATCAAAAAGAAAGAGGAAAAAAACGATCCACCACATTCTACTCTGGTTTTTTTTTTTTTTTTTTTTTTTTTTTTTTTTTTTTTAAGACACAGGGTCTCACTTTGTCACCCAGGCTGCAGTGCAGTGGCATGATCATAGCTCACTGTAGCCTCAAACTCCTGATCTCAAGTGATCCATCCTCTTGCCTCAGCATTCTGAGTAACTGGGACTACAGGTGCTGCCATCACACCTGGCTTTTTTTTTTTTTTGGTAGAGATGGGGTCTATGTTGCCCAGGCTGGTCTTGAGCTGCTGGATTTAAGCAATTCTCCTGCCTCAGCCTCCCAAAGTAATGGGACCACAGGTATGAGCCACCTTGGCCAGCCTCTTCTGTTTATCTTGAATGATGTCATAGCTGTCATCCCTTTACAAGGTTCTTTTTAACTTACAGGTAAGTGCCCTGGGTAGGGTGAGCCCCCAAGAAGCCAGAGGTCTCCTCAGGGAATAACTTCCCATTATAAACAAGTCTCAGAACAACTTGGGGAAAACCAACAAAGCATGAGAGAGGTGAGATATGGACATTCCCATTGTTTTTAAGTGGGGGAAAAAAACCTTTGACTCTGAGGAAGTCACACATATTCTCACCGTGTTCTTTTCCTTGTTTTTGTTCACAATTCTAAGAAGTAATAAGCAAAGAAATAAAGGACCATCTTTAGGAACTAAATACCAATTCAAAGGTCAGGCCTAGTCCTTAGAAGGGTACAAGAGAGAAATTGGAGGACTGAATGCCTCAGGACTGAGGGTTTTCATTTGATCCTAAGAGTTCGTGGGAAAGGAGCACACAGGAAAACTTTGCCAAGTGACAGAGCTAAGAGGCAGCCAACTCAGGAGAAAGACACACGATCCCAGGGCTTAAAGGGCCTTCTACGATTAGTGGATGAAAGCCTCCAATCCCCTGGCACTACCAGAGAGAGCTGCTCCCAAATTACCTGACTGAGCAGGCTTTCAACCTCATTAGAAATGTCTTTGGGAAGGAATTGCCATAATTTCTCAGATAATAGAGTCTGATACACTGTTTCAATAATGTCACACACAAAAAAATACCTACACTTTCCTGGGTGACATCAATGACTGGATGGTCAAAAGAAGGAACCACCACATCTGTGTAAGTCACTCATCCATAGAGCAGCCAGCATATTGTCACAATAAAATCCTGTTCTGAGCACACAGAGACCAGATCTGGATTTCTGTCTCTGACCTATGGTCTCCAGGACATTTGGTGGGAAAACCTGGCCATTTTTGTGAATGGCATAATTGTATGGCGGAAAGATGAAGGTTTAGGAGTCAGACAGTCCTGTGTCCAAATCCTAGCTCCACCACTTCCAATCATCAGAGCAACTCTGCAAAGTGAGCTATGATCTATGTATAAGGGGTGCTGAATAATAAATGCTGAATGGAATTTAAAACTAGATTTGCTACTATATCCTGCTTCACATCAACCTTTACCAACTAACCTCTCCTGTAGCACTTATCCACTCCATTTATTCAACAGATATTTACTGAGTACCTACTGTGGGCCAAGTAGACAGAGATTAAACTGTTTATTTAAAATCATGAAGAGTACAGAGAAGGTCCCTGCCCTCATGAAATATTCTAGTAGGGGAAGACTTAAACAGAAAAGCAAATGAATAGGTAAATACTTTTAGATTACTATTTTAAAAATACAATAAAGCACAATAAGAGGCTACAGCCTGACTATAATCTGAACTAGGCTGAAACTTCCTAGGCATATGGATTCTGCCTTATAAGTCTTCATGCTCTGTGATATCTATGGGAATGCCAAGCACGTAACAAATGCTCAGCAAATTTCTATCAACTGACAATGAACTGACCGAACGGGATTCTACCAAGTTAGATACCATCTAATTCCATGAGTCACTAATTGATATCACTATGAAATAAACAGAAACTTTAGAAGCACAGTCTCCTCACTACTCCAGACAGGACCTCATCATTAGCACTAAGGTGACCCAAGACAGCCCCGCACCTTCCTTTTTAATTTCTCTTTGCACCTTTCCCAAGGATGCCCCATCATCCCAGCCACATGACCCCAACCCATGCATGCCTGGCCTCAAGAATAACTGGCAAAATTCTGAATGGCTCAAAAGCCTTTTTCCTATAGAGCTATTTTGGAGGTTCAAAGAAAATGGCAGAGACTGCTTACCCATTTGGAAATAAAACATTTCTCTTCCTCACTTCACCAAAGCCTGTAAGCTCTGTCTACCAGGAGCCTCTCAAAATGGACCAGAAAGCAGCAAGAAAAAAGTTACCTCATCAATTTCCTGCCTGTGGAAAGCACATTTATTCTTCCCTATCCCTTCCCCCTTATGCTCCCTCTACAATCATTACAAACTGCTCAAGCCAACACAAACAGATAAGACCCAAAGGCAAGTCCTGGCAGGCGGCCAGCATCTGCTCTTAGGGACAACTGCATCCTTTCTTTCTAAATAAAGTAACAAGAGAAAGAAGCACAGGGTGCCCCTCTTACCTTAGCCAGGTAGGAGAACTCTACTGCAGCACTTCTTTGCAAAAGAGTTACCAGCCTTCATTTTAAAGCTCCCACTATCCTGATTCCTTCTGGAACTATGAGGGACACTGAGACCACTAGGTTTTGTGAAACACGTTTTCTATTCACTTGGCTTTTTATCCACCCACCAATTGCTGGGTATCTTCTGGCAGAAGGCTCTGTGTTAGGTGTTATGGGAAATTCAAACCTGAGTAACGAAAAACTCTCTGCCACCAAGGAACTCACAATTCAGCATTATCCGCAAATACAAGGTTGAATCATTCTCACTGCTCAAGTGGAAGAAAAAACCCTAGGGATCCAGTTCTTTTTAAAGTGTAGCCACTTTTCCAGGATACCACTGAAGGCCAAGCGGGAAGAATGCTCTTCTGACCCTCTAGGAAATGAGCCCAAATGCCCATGTGGACAGTGTCTTCTGGCCTGCTCCACCCACATACTCCTGGCCACCCACATAACCAGCCAAGTGCCTTGCCCACTTCTTCCTTGACAGGTGATAGGGTTTGGCTGTGTTCCCACCCAAATTTCAACTTGAATTGTATCTCCCAGAATTCCCACGTGTTGTGGGAGGGATCCAGTGGGAAATAATTGAATCACAGGGCCTGGTCTTTCCTGTGCTGTTCTCGTGATAGTGAATAAGTCTCATGAGATCTGATAGTTTATCAGGGGTTTCCGCTTTTGCTTCTTCCTCATTTTCTCTTGCTGCCGTCATGTAAGAAGTGCCTTTCACCACCCGCCATGATTCTGAGGCCTCCTCAACCATGTGGAACTGTAAGTCCAATTACACCTCTTTTTATTCCCAGTCTTGGGCATGTTTTATCAGCAGTGTGAAAACAGACTAATACAGTAGCCAAAAAGTAACTGGCCTGATTCACCACCCAAACAGGAGACATTCGTGTACAAGTGCAACTTAGGTTCTGATCGTCAGGCTGGGGAAGATTCCAAAATTTCAACTCTCTAAACCAGGGGTTTCAGGAGTTGGAAAGCAGTGGAGGGGATTGGCTTATCTTGGACTCATCTGCCTTCCAAGGACACTTTGAGGTTCATGGGGGCATTTATTATGGGTCCTCCACTCACAATGAAGACATTCTTTCTCTATCACATATCCAGCAGTTTAGCAAGTGTTGGTTAATAACATATGCATTTCATACCTTAATGCATTTCATTCATTGCTCAAAGTTGGTCCCAGCCACATTCTGTCTCCCTCCTAGGGTCTCTTTCTCACCTGTGAGCCTTTGGCACCACTGGGTCCTCCCCATGCTCCTCCAGCTCATTCAGGGGGAAGGGCTGATCTTCAGCCCTGCTGTGAGTGTGGGTGACAATCAGCACTGTCTGCAGGAAGCCTCACATCTGGGTCCCATCCCCTATTTCTACAGCCACAATCCTACGCTGTCCTTCATTTAAAAGAGGAAACTGCTTATCTAGCCCTTCAGGGGGTCAGTGGCTTTGAGCTGTTTTTCCAGTGGTATTGGATTATGCTGACTCTTATATCCTTACTTTACCAGAAAAAATCACACCCATTCATGAGTGGCTGGCTAGGTTAGGGGTGAAATCTGTGGTCCATGAGTTGTTATTCTTGGGCAAATTATATGAAGTTAAATTCTATCATCTTGGTCTCATCAGTACCAGTCTCCAACTCAAAGAGCTAATCAACAACATCTGCCAAACTGCAATCAATCAAACATGGCAAGAGAGTGAAGCTGTCATATCAGCTCCCCTCTTGGAGGCCACTCTGGGCCCAAAGGATGGTATATTTGTGTATCAGCAGGAGGAAGGATGTTTGGAAGCCCAAAGGCGATGAGAGGAAAGGAGGCAGTACAGGTTGGCAGATCAGCAGGGAGGGCAGCCCCCTGGGGTTCAGGTGAGCAGCAGGGAGCAGTGGGAACCAGGGTGGACATGTGTGCATTTATATCATATATTCATGCACCTAACAAATATCTGAGGACTGACCACAGCTAGAGGACGCAGTGATAAACAGAAGAGACATAGCCCTTGCCCTGGGAGAACTGACCTTTTCACAAGAATGGACTCAAATGATGGAAGGTTCTGTTTGTTTGAATCTTTAAGAAAATCAGGGGAAAGATACCACTTGAGGGAAAACTCTCTCCAGAGGTCAGGCAACATAAGACAATATGGGAGGAGGCTGGAAGGGCTGCAATTTACACGCCCTCCATGTCCCTTGCTGCTGGAGACTAGACGAGAAAAAGACCACGAGAAGGGGAGGAAAAGAAAAGAAATGAGAGTATAGACTAAACTCCCTGCACACTAACGTTCTGGCTCCTCACAAAATACTTTTTCAAATGAAAATTGTCTTAAAAAAAAATTGGGGAAGGACATGTGAAAGAGAAAAGAACAAACATGGCTATGCTTTCAAAAACAGGGCCTCCAAACATCGACATTAATAAGCAAATGTATTGGTAGGAAGAAATTCCAATCAATATTAATCAGGCTCAGCTGGCCCACTTCTCCTCACAGGGCTTAATAACACTTCCCAGCCCTGATCTGATTGGAGTCCAACACATGCATACTAATGAGGCCACCAGTGCAGAATTTACCACTAGGCTTCTAAGAGGGTTTGATGGGCACCATTTCTGTCCCGGATGTCTGTCAACCAATATATATGGGCTTCAGCCATTAATTCAATGGTTTGTTGGTAATACCCAATAGGTTCCAGCCTGTTATCTAACAGTTATGAGGGACAGTGTGTCAAAGGCTGGCTGCTTTGAAATAGCACAAACTCCTCTCTGAAAATATAAGTCCAGAGAATCTCTTCTTCTCACAATTTCCTAACTGCCCCCAACTATTCTATGTCATGCCCACTCTCCACAGACTCCCACTGATGGGCAGCAACTCCCTTAACAGGACTAGGGCCCAATTCCAGGACTTCCCAGTCTTGTTCACCTCACAATTCTAGTCTTACGCACAACTTAAAATTCTTCCTGTCCCCAGCACTGGCGAGATCTGTTGCTTGTTCTCTCAGCTTGCAGAGAAGGGGTTCTGGAGGCTGACGCTTTCTCTTCCTGCTGATCTGGGCTTCACCCTGGTGTCACAGCGAGGGGTCAGGGTGAGTAGAACTACGGGCAGCAGAGGGGTCTTCTCAAGTGAGTGCTTATGGCAAGGAGGTAGCCTCTGTCTGTAGGCTGTTTCTGCTTCTTCAAATTGGTTGGTTGTTAGTTTCTCTTTGTGGCAAATGTTTCTAAATGCCAGGATTTTGTGGAAAACTTTTATTGGTTCCTTGAGGGGATCCCCCTTCAAGTCCCTGGGTGTGAAATATCCCACTTAAGTTCAACATATTCTTTCCTTCCTCTGGCCTCTATCACGGGAGGCCCAATATACAGCCTCTTGCTTCTGGGACCCCCTTTATCTGGTGGGCAGCCTTCCTTCAGAAGACAGAGGTAGGAAGAAGAGAAAACACCAGCAGGATGGCTCATGCCCAATCATCTTCCAGGGGACCCACTCAACAAACACAAACCTTGTGTATTCCAGCCTTGCCAAATGGTCTGAGGGCAGATTGCTAGATGGCACCCTCTCTTTCAGTGCCTCCATCTCTCTCCTGACCCTCAGATCTCCAGTGAACCACAAGGCACACCTTGAGAAAGACTAGATGGTGCCACATAAATCCATCACAAAAGAGAGGAAGTCAAGGAAACCCCACTTTCCTGGTTTAGAGATGGCACCTTCTCATTGAAAGGATCTTAGCACTTTTACGGGCTTAAGCTGAAACCTCCCCGCCTCCTCGCTAGTATATTCCCACACATTGCACACTCATGCACACTTTCACAGCACCTCCACAGACTCACACCCACAAATCACACACAGGGAGGGTGGCCTGGTCTCTGGGTAGAGAAAGGTGCGTTTGTCTCCAAACCCAAATCTCAACCTTCAAGGCACAAACCCTGCACTGAGCTCTGACCAGCACCAAAGGGCAAAACTCCCTTAGTCCTCAGAGTACCGCATCCCACCAAAGTTCATCTTCAAAAGCCAGGACAAAGCAGCAAACTGAGGTTACAACCCTAGCTGAATTAGGAGAGGGTCAGAGTTTTCCTCAAAGTCATTAGCTCAACAAATATTTTTGAACCCCTAGCACGATGACAGACCTTAAAAGGGGCACTGAGGATGCAGCAGTGAACAAAACTTTCATTATACAATAATGTGCGCCCTCATGCTAAAATCATTAACCTATCTGTAACATCATCATCGGTATTATTACTCTCTTTCTTAAAATGCATCCCCTCCCTGCCCCTCCACATGCAGTGTTCATAACCTAGCAGCCCCGGTTCCACTTGCTCACTGCAGGCTTTGCGTGCCCATGATGTATGACAACAGAAATGTAGCCTGTCCACTTTAAGTTCGCAATAAAAATACAGATCCCAGTGATGAATATTTTATCAGGGAAGAGAACAATTTCAGGGCCATTTCTAGTAATATGTCAGCCCCAGGCAGGAGTGGAAGGCAGCTGGAGAGTAATGAAGTGGATACACTCGGGGTGGAGCCACGGCCCAGCAAACCATACAGGGAGAGGAAGAGGTGGGAAGAGGGAGAGAGGGAGAGGAGGAGGCAGAGCCCTGGGTGGTCTGAGCAGCTCTGAGCCTATATCCCCATTTCCAGGGAAAGAGGCTGAGGTCCACGGATAAATGATTTGGGAAGCTCACACTGCAGGGGTCTAAGCCAGCCCTGAACACCAAGATGTTTCACTCTGGCCTCAGAGAAGAGTACTGTCTGACGCCCTGTGGGCACTGAGCAGGGCTAGGGTTGAAACCTTCAGGAGGCTATGAAACCCCATTGTTAGGTGAACTGTAACTCCGATACCCAGACGGGTAAATTTAGGTCTTATTACTCTGCACTTCACTCATGTTTCTGAAGTTTCTCTTCTGCCTTCCAATGTGTATGTCTATCTTCCCCATGATCCTAAAAGGGCCTCAGCAGAAGAATGTCCTCCCCTCCATCTGGAAGGCTCCTGAATCTAGGGAAGCTCTGTAGCCTCTCTGACCCCAACCCTTTCAAAGCCTCTAACGGCAGGGTACCAAGTGGGGAGCCAAGTTGACAGCTGAAGAAGAGCAAATGGACACACCCTGAAAATTCAGCTTGGGGTCCACTATCACAGGACTTGGCTGTTCTTGCTGTGCGCCAGGAAGCCAGCCTTGGTCCCCTCTTCCTGGGCAGCAGTGGAGCCACTGGATCCAAGACATAGGTTCCATCTCCCATCTTCCTCTCCCCTTAAAGGCCCTTGGGTTGGAATGACATCAAGAAGATGCTGACATCTTAGGACAGAGAGATGAAGTGGAACAGGCAAAGATGGGGTAGAGTCACCTGAATGGGGGAATAAAGACATTTAACTCTTCAACACAGGCACTGCACTAAAGGCTGGGGATGTGAGATGAAGGAGACCTGCTCCCTGACCTCACAGACCAGCAAAGAGAGAGACAGCTACAAGAACACAGAGGTCAGACTCAAAGGAGGGCAGGAATCATTCTGTGAGGGTAGAAAGCCAAGGAAGGTTTCTCAAGGAGAATGAGGAGGTCCATTATTACATAATCACCAGGCAAACCAAGGGTAGCCCCATTTGCTCTCCTGGCAGCTGAGCCCTCTCCAGGAATTGCTTTTAGTCCAAGAGAGCTGCCTCACCCACTGACATGGCCCCTTCCTGGAGGCAGCCCACATCAATAACTGGTCAAGAGGTAGAAGGTTATAAACATCCAGTTCCCTTGACTCAAGGCAGGACAACTGTGAAGGGTGTCTCAATTCAAGAGCAACATGGGGCCAACTAGGTGATGCCTCTGCCACAACTGCCCAGCAGTCCAATTTTCCCCTTGCTTAATCTTGTTTGCCTAATTCCTTCAAAGTTGTCCATCCCACGAGCACTTGCCAGTGAACTACCTGTTCACAAATTTCCATCTCCAAGTCCATTTCCCGTATTTCCACCATCTCAGCCAGGCACAAGGCACAGGCCAGAGGTTTTCAAGAACAGCATCTCAGAAGGACACAAATCGGACATGTAAGTTACCTACATTTTAAACAAGCAAAGCACTGATTATTTGTCAAAGATGCAAGCTTTCTCCCAGAGCCCTCTGAAAGTTGTGTGAGTCCCTGAAGAATCTACCTGGAAAATTCCATTGCCCCGAGGAGCTTTCTCAAAATGTATTCCTGCCACCTGCTTCCCTGCGTATAATCCTCGCTCTCCACAAGTCTGTTTATCCATAGACACAAAATGTTAGAGCTGTCACCAGGAATACAAATGGGGAGAAAGCCACCCTCAAGCCAATCAATAATGCTGGAGACGAAGCAACTGCAGCACTCTGCGGGTCATAGATTATGAAGCACAAAGAAAGGAAACTCAACTCCTAGCATTGTATTGTAGCTGATGGTCAGTAAGGAAAGCTCATGTTCCAATCTGATTCTATTTTAGCCACTTGGCAGAAAATCATCACTGAGGCACAAATGAGATGGCCTTGAAGGTGAATAAAAATCTTGGGTTCACTTTCCAAGACTTCAACATCACAGAACTTTTCAGGAGCTCTGCCTCTCTGCAAGGCTTGCACGTCTATTTACAAAGGCAAAAGCTTCTGTAAAGTACCTGGGTTACCAAAGCAGGCTGGGAGCTGATAATCCAATTTGTTTTCCCTTCAATAAATCGTTCATTAATGTTGCTAAGAAATTTACAGCTTAAAATGGTTTTATGACTAGAGATTAAAAAAGAACCGTTCCAATAAATTTCATATAACTGAGAAGATTCCTGTCATTTTGATTAAGTAGTTCCTTGTGATGATAAAGTTTTATCTTGAATAATGAAGGGGGAAAGCATTAATCACTTTAAAGTCATTGTTGCCTGGTCTCTGGAGCCAACAGCCCAGCAGGCTGTCCTAGGGGGTTACTCAGAAACACAATTTAAAAAACAAAAATAAACCTACCAATCTTCTAGCAGGGTTAGAGTTTTCAGAATAATTGCTAAATCTGCACTGTCTCTAAATGGTGCAGAATCTTCAGAACTGTGATGAGTCGCACTGGTCCCCACCTTCCAGTTCCCCATGGGTCGGGGGTGCTAAGGATTCTGCTTTTGCTCGCCGCTGGGACATCCCCTCTCTCCCTGGGCTTTGCAGCGGGCCGCACTAAGAACCTCTGAAGGCACTTTAATTCGGTCGATGGAGTACATATCACATCCTACAAGGAACCCTGGGCTTCAGAGAAGAGCCAAGACATTTGATTATTCCAGCCACATGGAGTTCTTTTATAAAAACCCACAGATCTGGGCTAACTTACTACTGAAACTCAGACTCTAGCTGATGTCAGGATTCTTACATCCCCTTTGTCCTTTAGCTCTGTGTCAGTCTTTAGGAGAAGTTCTCACTCCTGTTTAAAAAGTCATCACTTCTGGGCCAGGAGTGGTCGCTCACACCTGTAATCCTAGAGCTTTGGGAGGCCAAGGTGGGTGGATCACTTAAGGTCAAGAGTTCAAGACCAGCCTGGCCAACATGGTGAAACCCTGTCTCTACTAAAAATACAAATTATCTGGGGGTGGTAGCGTATGCCTATAGTCCCAGCTACTTGGGAGGCTGAGGCAGGAGAATCACTTGAACCCAGGAGGCAGAGGGTGCAGTGGGCTGAGATCATGCCACTGCACTCCAGCCTGGGCAACAGAGTGAGACTCTGTCTCAAAAACAAAAAAGGCATCACTTCTGTAGATTAGGCAAGCCACTGATAATTCAATGTTGAGTTTTGGTGGGGTTAACAGTATCTCCTTTCCACCTCTCTCCCTCATCCCTAGTCTTCCCCTGCAGGAGAGAAGGGGGTCAAAACAACATTAACTGAATACCTACTATGTGCTCGTTACCGTGCTCACAGCTTCATATCATTTAAGCTGAACAGCAGTCCTGAAGTAGGTATTATCACCATTTTACAGTTGAGGAAACTGAAGTTCAAAGGAGTTTAAATAACTTACCCAAGGACACACACAGGGTAAAAGGCAGAGAGAAGGAGCCATTCTCCATTGTGCTTTTTCTACTGTACAGACAGATTTCTTCTCTTTCATGTGCTTTTGGATGTACATATATTAACTAACCATGGCTCTTATACCCAAGGCATTTACAAAGGAGTTAGAAATCTCAGCCAGCTGAAGAATAAGTCAGTGCTGATCTGCAGATTTCAGAAAAGAGAGAAGTCTGTGTGGCTGGAATAATCAAACAGCTTTAGGGAAGAGGTGAGACATAAGCTAGGCATGAAAGGATGAGTGGAGTTTAGATGATCAGAAGTAGAAAGAACAAATACTTCAGGAAACAGCACAAAGGCTTGCAGTTGAAAATCGGCACAGTGCCTGGGGAGGATAGTGGATAAGGGGGTGAGTAGAGACAGTAAACATTCTCTTCTGTGGCTCTGATGAGCCCTTGGTACATGTGTCCCAGGATAGATGACAACTCTGTTTTTTTAGAAAGGCAGAATGCAAGTGAGTAGTATGATTCAACTGAACAACAGAATTTATTCTATTTATGGATATCTTAATCTTCTCAAACTGCTTTGAGATGGGTTCTTGCTATGTTGCCCAGGCTGGCCTTAAACTCCCGGGCTCAAGCCATCCTCCTACCACAGCCTCCCAAGTAGCTGGGACTACAGGCGTACACCACTGTACCCAGCTTCTTTATTTTTATCCTATCATAATGCCATATGGTAAACAGAGATGTATTATTCTGCTCACTTTACAAAGAGGAAAAAATGAAGTCTAAATTGCCCACAACTCTTCCAAGTAAATGGTGAACCTAAAACTCAGGTCTCCTTATTACCAGACCCTGTAGGCATATGGATGTCTTCCCATCAAATGGCCTTTGAGCACTGACTGACTAGAACTATGGATTCTCACCCCTTTGCACACTCTTCTTCTTATAATTTCAGGAATTCAGGAAGTCCTGCCAGCTTACCCTAGACTTCAGAGAACCATGGACTCTGAATATAAACCTCCCCACAATACCACACTCTGCCAATCCATCCTTCACAGGTAACTGACAAAATGCATTTCCTAAAAGGCTTTATTGCCAATGGCTCAATACCAACCCTTCATTATAGAAACCTAAACTGAAAAACAGACAACATCTGATCATTCTTTCCTCACCCACAGTAATAAAAACAATTACAAATAACAAAAACAACAATCATGCCTACCTTAGAGCTTTACATGTGTTATGCCATTTGATCCTCACAACAACCCTACAAGGTAAATGCCGTTATTATCCCAATTTTACAGGTGAGCAAACTGAGGCACAGAGAGATTAGGCAACTTGCCCAAAGTAGTAAGTGGCAGAGCCAAGAATGGAAGCTGGGAGCCAGGCTCCAGAATCCATGTTCTTAAGAACTGCTGCACTGCACTGCCATCTGAGAAGCCCTGCCCTGGCTGAACCCATGAGCCTGGCAGTAAACTTCAGAATACTTTTCCCCCAGTGAGCAGGGTCTATTAGGCATTAGGTAACAGCAATTGGAATAATGCCAAATACAGGCACTTCGGGACCTGCCTTAATAGGCAGATAAAATAAATATGCCCTCATCACAACCAGCGTGACTACTGCTGAGGGGCCGTGATCTACCTTCTTAACAGGAATTCCATATGCTTCTGTAATTTTCAATTAATACCATTAACAAGTCCAGTGATTTCCTTCTTCACGGAGATCCAACTTAAATTTCTGTGCAAGTTCTAATCAAATTATGAATCAAATAATTAGGTAACTAGCCTGTTACCTAATTCTCCATGCACCAAGGAGGGCCAGAGCCCTGGCACAGCAGGAGCATCAAGCCACATCTGGGTGCCTGTCCCCACCTTCTTTACCACCTGCCTCATGAGCTCCCCTAAGTCTCCTGGTTCCTACTCCAGATCTGTGGCTTGGAACCTGATTCATCCATTCATCAATTTGTTCTTCATTAATTCATTCAAACAACTTACAAACACTTATTAAACACCTACTATTTTCCAGGCCTTGTAGACTCTGGGGATACAACATTTTAAAGCAGCTACTGTTTTAGTTAGTCCTTGTATCACCTCCAACAACGCACCCTTAAAGCACTGGGCCTTGTCCAGGACATTAACATAGGCCAAGGTCAGACCAGACAGTTGTTGGCTCAGCCTTGGTAATTGGGTCTGGCCCTTTTCCTAGGTGTTCTTCGGTGCTTTCCCCAATTTTCCTCTGCCTTGGTGCCCACAGTGAGCACTGACAGCAGAACAGAAATGTTCCATAAGACAATGGCGACTCTGAGGACAGTCCATCACTGCTGGGTCAGTGACTATAGTCGGGTATGAAATAAGAGAGGAAATCATGCAATTATCTCAGAGTTTTCCCCAAGACCTTCTTGGACTGTTTCCTATAAACACCACCTTATTATACAGTTGTTTATACCCACCCTACATGAAAATTGTTCTGTTTTGACTTTTTAATGCCATTCATTGTTCCAAAGTTAATCTGCTCTGCTGTGTACACACACACTTAAGATGTCCACCTGGCTGGGGTAACACATCTGCTCAGATACTCCAGATTCAGTACAGGCAGACAGAAATAGGTTGTTCGGTGAGGTTCTGGAGTCACAGGAGGACTTGGTCAAATGTATAAATTAAAGCTATGCGGAGGGAAACTCGGAAGTCTGAATTCCCAGAGCCTTTGGAAGAAATGAGATTTTCATGACTCATTTAATCATCTTCCTCACAGCTCCCAACTCAGTGTTATGCACAAAATGGTGTCCAATATGTTTTAGAGACTAAACAGTAACTAGATTATTGGAAAACTGCCAAATAGAGGCCCTTTGGGACCTGCCTTAATACGCAGATAAAATAAATATGCCCTCATCACAACCAGGATGACTACTACTGAGGGACCAGGATCTACTTTCTTAACGGGATTCCATATGCTTCTGTAATTTTCTATTAATACCATTAACAAGTCCAGTGATTTCCTTCTTCATGGAGAACCAACTTAAATTTCTGCTCGAGTTCTATCCAAATTATGAATCAAAAAGTTTTTGTCTTGTAACCCATTAAATTTTTTGAGATGGAGTTTTGCTCTTGTTGCCCAGGCTGGAGTGCAATGGCACGATCTCAGCTCACCACAACCTCTGCCTCCCGGGTTCAAGCAATTCTGCCTCAGCCTCCTGAGTAGCTGGGATTACAGGCGCTCGCCACCACACCCAGATAATTTTGTATTTTTAGTAGCAACGGGGTTCCACCATGTTGGTCAGACTGGTCTCGAACTCCTAACCTCAGGAGATCCACCCACCTCACCCTCCCAAAGTGCTGGGATTACAGGCGTGAGCCACCATGCCCGGCCTAACCTGTTAATTCTCTCTATTCCATTTCAGCCCATCTCCTAACCACTAACGCCATCTGAGACCATTTGAAAGGGTCCAGAGAGGCCCTGGTGATGGCCCCAGTTCATCACAATCTGTCACTTCACCCGACCAAAAACCCCAAGCTGTTCTGTCTCCACTCTCCCCACATTCTTCCCCACCCAGGCTTCATTATCAAGTCTGTCGCTTGGACTTTGAGGCCTTCTCTCAAATCATCCCAACCTCCCCATTCCCACTTTCACAGTGAAGCTTCAGGCTCTGCTCCTTCATAGCCCAGGTCACTGCAACCACTGCCTTGCTTTTCTCTGTGCCTCCATCCTCACCACCACCAGCTGCCATACGCTCTCCACACAAGTGCTGGGTTATCATTTTAAAAATGAAATCTGATGCTGTTAAGCCCGTGCTTAAAGCCATGTGGAGGTTCCTCATGCCAGACAGGATAAGGTCCCACCTTCCTGGCCTCTCCACAACCCAGTGTCTCCTCTTACCTCCCGGTGGACCTAACCATCCCAGCCACACTGGACCACCATCTTTCCAAGCATGCACTCATCTTCCACCTCTGCACCTCTGTGCCAGCTGCTTCCTCCTCAGCAGTTCCCTTCTCCTCCATCTTCCATGCCTGGTGGAATCACATGCCAACCTTCAAGTCCAGCCCCTGGATCACGTTCCCTGAAATGTTTCATGGCTTCCTCAGGCCAAGTGGATGGTCCTGCTTCTGTATTTTCCCATCACTTTATTCAGATTCCTGGTATGGCATTCAAATACATCACATTCAGGTAAACTATGGGCCACTTTGTATCAGGGACACTGTCTTTCCCATTTTTATGTCTCCAAGGCCCAGTGTGTTGCCTGGCATGTAGTAGACACTGAAAGAATGTTAGCTGAATTGACCAGCTGAAGCACAGAGTAATTAATTCTGGCTGGTGAGAAACAGCATAGTGTCATCTAAAGGGATGCTTAGACTAAATGTTAAGTAGAAGGAGGAAAAAAGCTGTAGTATGAAAATAGCATGAACAAAGTAAATGCCCTTCCTCATGATCTTCAACAAATAGTTAAAGGAACCTATTAAGTGCCAGGTGTTGTGCTAAGTGTTGGTGACATAAGCAAAATTATACGTGGTCCCTGCTTTAATGGAGCTTACAGTCCAACAGGGAAGAAAAGCAGCCAAATCATTTCAGAAATAAATGAAAAGCTGTCATGAGGCTCTGGAGAGATAAAACATACTATTCAGGGAGAAACAACACAATTTTACTGAGAGATGAGAGAAGGTCTCCGGAAGAAGTGATGACTAAGGCCTGGTGCAGTGGCTCACACCTGTAATCCCAGCACTTTTGGAGGCCAAGGTGGGTGGATCTCTTGTTCCCAGGAGTTTGAGGCCAGCCTGGACAATGTGGTGAAACCCCATCTCTACAAAAAATACAAAAGTTAGCTAAGCATAGTGGCACATACCTGTAGTCCTAGCTACTTAGGAGGCTGGGGCAGGAGAATCACTTGAGCCCAGGAGGTGGAGGTTGCAGTGAGCCAAGACTGTGCCACTGCACTCCAGTCTGGGCAACAGAGTGTGACTCTGATCTCAAAAAAAAAAAAAAAAAGGAAAAAAAAGAAGTCATGACTAAATTGAGTTGTGAAGGGAAAGCTTATTAAGCAAGTGAGAGAAGGATACCATTCTAAGCAGATGGAATAGCTTGTGCAAATGCCTTGTGGCAGCAAGAGAAAATGGGCATCCAAGGGACCAAAAGAAAACTCATTAGGCTGAATGCTAAGAGTGAGGGATGACTAATGCATGATGAGGTTGCAGAGGTACGAGAGGTAAGAGAAGAGGCCTGAACAAGGAGAATTTTATAGTTCAGTTTAAGAATTTTGTCTTAAAATCTTCAAAGCATTGGTAATCACTGGAGTATTTTAAGCAAAGGGTACCTTGATCAGAATTGTGTGGTTTTTTTTTTTTAAAGCCATTCTCATTACAATATGGAGAACGGGTAGGAGGAAGAGAACATGTGGATGTTGACTAGATGGGAAACTACTTCAGTTGCCCAGATAAGAGGTGACAGTAGCCATGGATATTTAGAGACAGTGGGAACATTTGGGAGACATAGGTATGTAGAATCAACAGACCTGGGAATTTAGGGGTGAGGACGAAGGAGGTATCAGAGATAACTCCTGCCATCTGGTGCATGTAATGGAAGAAGTGAAGGCACCATTTACTGACATAACAACTACTGAAGAGATAAGATATTGAGGAAAGATCATGCATGTTTTGAATGAACTGGGAGCGGAAGGACACCTATAAGAGAACCAAACCCATGTATGAACTAGATTAGGAATAGCTGGTAGATCTTCTCTGAAAAACACCCTGGGCTGGGCATGGTGGCTCATGCCTATAATCCCAGCATTTTGGGAGGCTGAGGAGGGCGGATCACCTGAAGTCAGGAGTTCGAGACCAGCCAGGCCAACATGATGAAACCTTGTTTCTACTAAAAATACAAAAATTAGCTAGGCATGGTGGCGCATGCCTGTAATCCCAGCTACTCGGGAGGCTGAAGCAGGAGAATTCCTTGAACCCGGGAGGCAGAGGTTGCAGTGAGCTGAGTTCATGCCCTTGCACTCCCGCTTGGGCAACAAGAGCAAAACTGTGTCAAAAAAAAAAAAAAAAAAAAAAAACGAAAGAAAGAAAGAAAAGAAAAAAACAAAACACCCTGGAGACTTATTAAACCCTTCTAACTTTCTCTAGGTAAAGATACTTGACAAGGTCCCTTGACAGGAATCCATATAGTCAAAAGTCACTAAAACTGTACATATCACCAGCTACATCCCCTCCCAGTGGCGATGCCTAGAGCTTGAGAGATTCCCACACCTCAGGACCAGCAGTGGGTGAATAGAGGGCACGGGCAGTGCATACCATTTCCTTCTCCATCTGTTGCAGAAAATAAAGAGTCTTTTCTTAGGGTCTAGTGTTTGAGAGGGCCAAAGACCCCGAAACAGACAGATCTTGGATCTTACAGACAGCTCACAGGCCACCTGCAACCCAAGGGCAGAGAACAGAAAAGTCAACAGTGTGTTCTGGGACCAAGAACTGCTTCAGCTATCTAGATTATGTGGAAGGTGGAGACAGTGAGGGTAGAAAAATAGGGCTGGAAAGGTGAGCTGGGACTGGATATGAGGCCTCGATGAATTTATCCCTATGGGCAGAGAGGAGCTACCAAGGTTTCTGAGGATGTTGCTAGATTCTCATCCATGCTCTGTTAAGGTAAGGAGTTCATGGAAAGGATGGACTTAGAGGCAAAAGAATGTAGGCAATAATACAGAGCATAGCAGGAAGGCCTTTGGAAGGGTCCTATGAAGAAACAATGAGAGCCCCAAAAATGAATTCAAAGAAAAATTTGGAAAAATTAAAATTCAAAACACGTGAAGTCTTTTGAAGGGGTGGGGAGGGTTGAGGCAGGGTCTCACTCTATGGCCCAGATTGGAGTGCAGTGACACAATCACAGCTCACTGCAGGCTTGAACTCCTGGTCTCAAACTACTGGCTTCAAGCAATTCTCTTGGCTCAGCCTCTCAGAATGCTGGGATTACAGGTGCAAGTCACCAAGCTCAGCCAGACATGAGTTTTTAAAGAGTGAAGAGAGATTATTTGAACAATTCCCTTAATTTTTCACAGAAAAAGAAGGAAAAAAAAAAAGAAAAACACCCTGGAGCATTATTAATTTTTCAGAGAAAAATTAGAGGAAAAAAAAATTCAGAGAAAGCATGCCAAACCATCCTACTGATGAAATTTACCCTTCCTATATCCTCCCCTAACTTCCCTGCCTCTGTTAACCCACATTTATGAAATTAGCTGAATTTCTTTTTTTAAAAATGTCTGCTTTTTTAAAGGCTATTCCATCAGCTCCTGATTACAAACTCACTAAATGTGTTTTCGCTTTCTTGGCAGGACTAACGTTCCATAAAGGCTTCAGAAAAAGAAAATCAAAAGCTTTGCTTAACTGTGGTCATTACAATGAAGCAAATGCAGTTCTCCCCATGATGCCTGTCTGTGAACAGCGGTGCCATATTAATCTACCTCTGTTGGCAAACAGCTCTGAGATCAGCCCCTAAACCTTTTGCAAATGTAAAACAATCAAACAATCAAAATATATACAGACACATAAATATATCCATATATGTATAATATATATACAACACGTATACTTAATATGATTTAAGACAATATTATTTTATTTTTGTTTTTTCAGAGACAGGGTCTCACTCTGTCAACCAGACTGGAGTGCAGTGGTTGATCCTAGCTCACCACAGCCTTGAGCTCCTGGGCTCAAGCTATCCTCCCACCTCAGCCTCCTGAGTGGCTGGAACTACAGGTGCACACCACCATGACTGGCTAATATTTTATTTTATTTTATAGAGATGGAGTCTCACTATATTGCCCAGGCCAGTCTTCAACTCCTGGCCTCAAGCAATCCTCCCAACTCAGCCTCCCGAAGTGCTGGGATTACAGGGGCAAGCCACTGCATCCAACCAATATATATATATATATATTTTTTTTTTAACTAAAACACTGATGCGGCAAAAACTGTCCAAATTTTACTTATTTCCTAAACCTAACACTGCTATGACAGAAACAGGAAAAGAAACTAAGGCATTTGCTGAATTGTAAAGAAATCAAAATGTGTTTTGAAATACACCAGAGGGATGACCATGTCCCTGGTAAGCCAGGGGTAACAGTTTAGGTGACAGCAAGAAATTTGGGCAGTTGGAGGCCAACCTCCCACCCCTACCTATTTATTCCCTGCCCAGAGGTGGGAGAGGCAGGCAGATGGAGAAAGAGTAATCAAGACCTATAAGGATACGTAGGTTGTCGTCTGTCAATAGTGACAACTTCCTGTCTCTCATCTTGAAACAGTTTGAATTTCACTTTCCTTTGTCATTCAAAAAGCAGGGTTGGAGATGGGGAAAACAGCCAAAGGGACATCAAGGGAGAGGAAAAGAGAAAGCAGAAGGAAGGAGGAGATGAATCCACCAACTGGCCAGTTATCCCCCATTCAGACCCTTGTCACAGACATTCCCTGGAATAAGCGCTGACGCTGATGAACTCCCTGGCCAGTGCAGAAACATTCTCCAAGGGAGAGGCCACACTCACATTGTCGGCCTGGGGCACTGGGCAGACAGCAAATCGTTCCCAGGCCCTCAGCTGAGTCATTCAGACCAGGAGACCAGGGGGGATGCTGACATTCCACCTAAACCTCTGAAGTTCCCTGTGAATGTAGATATTCTTTTCTTTCTGTTGTTTTGTTTTTTGTTTGTTTTTTGAGATGGAGTCTCACTCTGTCACCCAGGCTGTAGTGCAGTGGCACAATCTCAGCTCACTGCAACCTCCGCCTCCCGGGTTCAAGTGATTCTCCTGCCTTACCCTCCTAAGGAGCTGGGATTACAGGCACGCGCCACCACACCCAGCTAATTTTTGTATTTTTAGTAGAGACGGGGTTTCATCATGTTGGCCAGGCTAGTCTCAAACTCCTGACCTCAAGTGATCTGCCGCCTCAGCCTCCCAAAGTGCTAGGATTACAGGCGTGAGCCACCGCAGCTGGCTGGTATTCTTTTCTAGAGCAGTCAAGCTTTATGTCTGCCTGTGAGACTTTGTTAAGCCTTTACCCTCAAAGAGCTTGTCTCCCCTCATTTAGAAAATGGCAAAACCCCACAGTCTATTGGATTCACAGGAAGATTTGGGGACACAATGCTGGTCAAGTGGCTAAACATGATACTCCATGCACAGGATGTTCTTAGTAAGTCATTATTGTGGTTTCATTCAGAAACATTGCTCAGTATTGTCTCTATTTTTTTAATATAAAATAAAAATATATTGTCTTATATTTTTTCATTTAAAAAGCAATACTTGGCTAGACGCAGTGGCTCACACCTGTAATCCTTGCACTTTGAGAGGCCGAGGCAGGCGTATTGCCTGAGCTCAGGAGTTCAAGACCAGACTGGGCAACAGGGTGAAACCTCGTCTCTACTAAAATACAAAAAATTAGCCGGGCATGGCGGCGTGCGCCTGTAGTCGCAGCTACTCAGGAGGCTGAGGCAGGATAATTTCTTGGACCCAGGAGGCGGAGGTTGCAGTGAGCCGAGATTGCACCACCGCACTCCAGCCTGGGCAACAGAGCGATACACTGTGTCTCAAAAAAAAAAATTAAATAAAGCAATACTTTATTTAAATATAAAATTAAGCTGGGTGTGGTGAGGCACACCTGTAGTTCCAGCTACTTGGGAACCTAAGCAGGGGAGGATAACTTGAGCCCAGGAGTTCTAAACTGTCGTGTGCTATTATTGCACCTGTGAATAGCCACTGCACTCCAACCTGGACAATGTAGCAAGACCTCATGTCTTAAAAAAAAAAAATCAATAACTACTCATTGAAGCAAACATACACATAGTGTGTGTTTTCTATATATATATATTTTTATACACACTATGTGTATGTCTATGAGGGTGAGTTAGAGAGAGAGAGAGAGCGTGTGTTTGTGTGTGTGTGCATGTGTGTGTGCGTGTGTGTGCATGTGTGTGCGTGTGTGTGTGTGTGTGTGTGTGTGTAAGAGGGAAAAAATCTCCTATTTACTACCACCAAAGAAAACCACATAATATTTTGGTATTTTTTCCCCAGTTTTCTCTCAAGGCAACATTGTATGAATGTTCATATTTGCTACATTGTTGTCACTATATTAAACTGCAATTATAATTCTGATGATAAATGCTACCTGGGAGAAAAGCTGTTGCGGAACATCTTTTATGTCAGATTACAGGATTATTGCCTAAATTGAGAATAACAATCCCTAACAACATTCTTTACTTTTTAGTTTCATCCAGATGCTATTGTGAAAAAGAAATACCAAGCCCTCGGCCATCTTCTATGTCACTAGAGTAACCAAGTCATCAGGGTGGCTATTGGGTGACCAGTCTCCTCAGGACTTTAGGCAGAAATTAGGTATTAAGCCTACTGAGAGTCCCACAGAGCAATCCAATCCCTTCGCACTTCTTTATTATTTGATTTATAATTTTTAGTGTACTTCAAGCAATGTTTTCAATTAAAGGCTGCCAGGTGGCATGCTTCATAAGCCCTTGATGATCTGAGAATGCCCTTGTAGGAAGAACTTTTCTTGAGTGGAAGGAACAGATACACACTCTCATATCCAGGAGGATTTACTGGAAGGACACAGGACAAAATTCAAAGGATGACAGGGCTTCGTGAGCACAAAAAAGGCACTGAAACAGCTGCCCTGTCTCTGTGTGTGGCTTCTCTGCTCCTCTCTGACCCCACTCAGCATCCCTGCCTCCTCGTAGCTTCTGGCCCTCTGCAATATCAGTTTACACATTGCCAGACTGGGGAGCCGCTGACAACACCCCCATCTCTGTGACTCTCTACCTCGAGTCCTCAAAACCAACTGCAACATTTTCTCTATCCCAAAATCCTCGAAGAAGAATCTAGCTGGCCCACCTCATCCCTGTTTACCAGATCTTAAATCGCAGGTTACTTCTGAGGGATGGCCACTCCTACTCCTACCACTTTAGCAGGAGATGGCAAGGCCACCTGGGCTCAAAGGCCTTCCTACTCCATAGGTCCTTCCAGGTCAAGACTATTCTGTGAGAAGAGGGCTTGTCCAGGGCAGGCACCCTAAAGCATTTTTAGAGAAGTCGTTCAGTTGGCTTCAAACACTAAAACAATTTAACTGGATATAAAATTCTTGAATCATAGTCTTTCCCTCTCAGTACTCAATAGGCCTTGTTCCACTGTTTTTTTGGCCTGAGGTATTGCCAGGCAGATGTCCTACACCTTTTTTCTCTTCCTAAGTAACCCTTGTCTCTTGTGTGGATCCTTGTGTACCTTTTTCTTTTGTTCCATAATTCAAAAATTACAGCAGAATGTGCCTCCACATGGCTCTCTTTCTGTGATTTTCTTTTTTCCAGACAGGGTCCTCCTCTGTCACGCAGGCTGGAGTACAGTGGTGCAATCTTGGCTCACTATAGCCTCTGCCTCCCAGGTTCAAGCAATTCTCCTGCCTCAGCCTCCTGAATAGTTGGGATTACAGAAGTCCACCACCTCACTCGGCTAATTTTTGTATTTTTGGTAGAGACGGGGTTTCACCATGTTGGCCAGGCTGGTCTCAAACTCCTGATCTCAGGTGATTCACCTGCCTCGGCCTCCCAAAGTGCTGGGATTACAGGCATTAGCCACTGTGCCCAGCCCCTTCTACTATGTATTTTGCTTGTAATATGGTTAGTCCTTTTAAATCCAGGACAGCTTCTTCTTTATGTTGGCCTTTTTAATGCTTCTGCTCTCATTGTTCAGGTTTTACAGTTATCTCTAGTATTTATTATTTTCTCTCAATATTTGTATCTCCTTTTCTACAATGTAGAAGACAATCTCAAGACTGTCTTCCTCATAGGAGTATTTTCAAGTGTCACTTTTGATCTTCATGTTCTCCAAAGAGAACTTTAATTATGTGATTGCATCCTTGTTTTTCCAGAAATGCTTTATTTCCCTTAACTCCATTTTTCTTCCCTTCTTATCCTCTATTTAAGGCTTATTACTCTTATTTCATATATGCCACATGAGACTAAAGTTTTAAAATATTTTTCCTGTTTTTTATATTTATAATAAATCATCTCACAGGCCTGCTTTTCCTCTGAGACTTGGAGTGATGAGTCCCTTACATTACAGTGGAAACTTTCTTCAGTGGCTAAATATTATTTATTTTCTCTACATAAATCCTTAGATGAAGTAAAATGTATTCATATTTAGCATTTATCAACAACTGCTATCTATCAATGAGGAATACATTGCCTTTTGCTGTGATTTTCAATGATGAATATCTCATTTTCATTACATACTATAATAGCAAATTACGGGATACAATGAATCCATTCTCATAAAGGTCTGTATGGAGAAAAGCAAAAAAAAAAAATACAAAATGTGTACAATTGTTTAAAGGAAAAAAAAGCCTTGTAATACAAAAAGATACTTTCATCACTATTTCTAATTAGCAAGAAGACAAAATCACTGAAAAATTTTTATATCATCCAATTACCAATAACAACAATAAAACCCAGAATCATAAAATTCTCTATAAAATTAATAAAGGAGAACTTCAAATGACTCGAGTTTCTCAAACTGTTCTTCTTTCAATTGAAAAGGGTAAAGGAAACAGTTTATTGCTTTTCACTTTGTTCTGTTTCTCCTTAAACAACAATCAAATCTCCTCAAGCAACACACTCAAAGAACAAAACGAGATGCCAGTCCTAGTCCAACTTCAAGTTTCCAACAGGTATTCTCTGATATCCTGCTTCTTCCTTCAGGGTACATTTTCCTCTATCCCATTCGTTGCTTGTCTGATCAATTAACCAACATGACACATTAAAATGGCCCTTCCCAATGTGTCAGCAGGGCCCTTCCTGTCTCCATTTTCACCTACTGCAGCTGACCTGCAGAAGACGGAAGACGGAACACAGAAATGAACCCCAATGGCCCAATCCGGTGTTCCCCACTTCCTGTCTACTCATTTTATTATTATTGGAGTCTCCACATTGGTGTGGAAAGGGGGGTGTCTATGAAGTGAGAAGAGGGATACAATAATTGCGCTGGGACGGAATGCAACAATGACACTGTATTTGTACAAGGAAGGGCAGCCCACCTTTCTGCTTGCAACAGACTATGTTTCTGAACTGGTGGGACGGGCAGACAGCAGAAGAAGGGTGAGGGACTTCGTAGCACAGCATGCACAAGCCACTGACAGCATTTTCAGACAAGTGAGCTTTCTGTGCCAAAGTAAGAGAAATTTCTCATTGATTCTGACAACAGACTGAAGTCCAGCCCTACTTTTCAGTGTTTATTTTGTTCATCTTTTCTCAGTGTTTTCTAGACATTACATTACAGTGGCAGTTGGGTGAGGATGTATCAGAGGCAATAGACATTATTTCAAACTTGAAGCCCTATAGCCACCTTTTTTTTTTTACACCTTCTTTTAGGTACAGTTCAAAACCCGACATGACATTTTATCTTTAACAGTGGTTTCAACCAAGTGCAATTCCCCTCTCTCTCCACACCCCAGGGCTAGTTGGCACTATCTGGTGATATTTTTTATTGTCATTTCTGGGGGATGCTACTGACATTTAGCAGACAGAGGCCCGAGACGCTGTTAAACATCTAAGTACACAGGAGAGCTCCCACAACAAAGAATTAACGAGTCCAAAATGTCAACAGTGCCAACATCGCCAAATCCTGCTGTATGGCAAAGGTCCAACTCAAACAGAAGCCCCATGGGGGAATTATCTGAGGGGTGTCTTTGCTACTGCCCCTGATCACCTGTATTAGCACCCTATTCATTATCTGAATGCCCCAGTTACATTAACTTTCTGCTGATTAGGAGACATAAATCCTTCTCCAACTCAAGAAAAGACAGATTCTCCCATATTGTTCTTCCACCTCCACTGTAAATGATACAGCAGAGGAGAGATACAATCACTAACAGGCAGAGGCTGTAAAGTCTTCAGTCCACAAGCAGTAATGTGGTGCTGAGCCCAGCATGCCTGGGCTGGACACACATGAAAACAGCAGACAGCTGGGTTCCCCAGCAGGAAACTGTAGGGAACTGGCTGCATTCTGTTCAGACAAAGAAAGTTCAGTACTGAAAAGATGCTCTGAAACTCATTCTCAAAATACCAGCAGTAGCTATGAGCCCTCAGGGAACAACAGGCATCAGAGACTCCAGGTTAGGTGGATGAAGGATGGTAAAATTCTGTGTGCTAGAATGGGCTAAATTCATACAAATGTCCCAGAACTTTCACATAGGCTATTTATATATTTTACGGCAGTGGCTTCAGTGATGAGGTACTTACTAAAGCTCTAAACGTATTTTCCCCAATTAAAAAGAAAATACTTTCAAAAGGAATTCCACCACATTGAGGCAGCCAAATCAGTTGGTCATTAGCACTCTAATGGCCAGTGACAGCTCGGAGCTGGACTCGATATGCATATGCCCTAATCTCCCCAGGAGCAGCTGAGAGTTATGGAGCTGGCTGCTAGTTGAATAATTACTGGAATCTTGAGCATCCGCAAGCTGCTCTTCCAGGCTCTGTAATTCAGAGCTAAAGGGGCCATGCTATTGGTTACACAGCTTTTAGCATATTTGCATGTTTGTGTTGTAGTGGGTTTGGTTTGGAACACTGTTTATTTCATGGGTGTGTTTATTTGTTGATGTGCTATTCACAGAGTCTTCCCCACCTCCAAATTTTCAATCAAAACCTTTGCTATATTTTCTATGCAGATACAGCACAAGAAGGGATGCACGCATGCATGCACGCATGCACACACACACAAACACACACCAGCAAGAGTGTCGCTCAAAGTAGCTTCTGTCATAAAAGGCCAAGCCAATCTGACATCTGATGTGTGAACAGAGCTGTTTGCACACCAAGCGGACTGGTCTACCCCCTCCTACTGATCTTTCTCCCCCATCCAAAGGGATTCTAGCCAATGTCCAGAGAATCATCAACTATGAAAGACAGATTATTTATATTATTTTACCCCACACACACACACACACACACACAAACACACAATGTTTCCCAGTCCCCTTCCCCCACAGTATTACAACTCATTAGGTTAGAGCAACAGGCTAGTAATCAACCTTACAATACTGTACAGTACCACCAAGTTCTTCCACATAAATCATCTAACCCAATCTACACAAAACCCTGTTACGTAGTCACTGTCTTCTATTTGGCAAATGAGGAACTGGAGCCTGATATGGGCATGTTCACATGGCCAGGTTGAAGTAGTGCTGGCAATGGAGGTCCTATAACCCAGAGCTCCATGCATAACAGTGGCCTTCCTCAGGGCTGGGATTCATTGTCTTTGCCCCAGAGAGGCCTCTGTGCTCCTCCCTGGTGCTCAACATAGCTAAACAATTCTACAAAAAGCAGAGGCTGGTCAGGAAGCCTGGTTAAGAAAATGTGGATGCAAAGCCAACCCTCTAACAAGGAGTGACTTCAGCAGTGCATCCTGCTAGCAGTACTCCCATTGAAGGCAAAGAGAGATCAACCCAATCCAGAAGGTCCTTGTTGAAGGCCAGAAAGTTAGACACAGGAGGTACAATTCTATAGGTATCTTAGCACTAATGTGATGGGTAAATCTAGACCCTATATATTTGACCTTTCTCTGGGAATTCTATTACAGAAAATCCACAATTCAAAACTCTAAAATTTGAAACGTTTGAGCTCTGTGATGATGCCACAAGTAGAAAATGCCACATGTGGTCTCATGTGTCAGGCCACTGTCCAAATGCAGTCAACACTGTTTCGTGCACAAAATTATTTAAAATATGGTATAAAATTACCTTCAGGCTATGTATATAAGGTATACATTAAACATAAATGAATTTCATGTTTAGACTTCAGTACCATCCCCTAGACATCTCATTATGTATATGCAAATATTCCAAATTCTGAAAAAAATTAAAATTCAACACTTCTAGTCCCAAGCATTTCAGATAAGGGGTACTCCACCTGTATTTCTGTACATGTACAGGACGTGGGTGGGATTGTTATATAAAAAAAAGCATTAATGAAATAAACAAAATGTAACAAAACCCTATGGAAAAAAATATGTATAAATCTTTACACCGTGTAGTGTGAATAATCATCTCCCACATCCTCAGGTAGCCAAAGTTAAATATAACAGGAGTGTACAAATCCACCATGGTAGCAGTGCAGTGACACAGTATCAAGTTTGAAAAGAAAACTCGACAGGCTCCACGTGAGCCATCAGAGCCAGGAAAAGAATGGATGCCCCTCACAGACCATAGGTGCCTGCTCAGCAGTGCCCAGAACAGCACCTAGGAGAACACTTGGTGGGGCGGTGGGGGGCGGGAAGGTACAATTACCCCAGTGCATGGCAGCTAGCCAGTATGGAAAGATGTCCTTCCACTCTATACAGTAGCCTGAGACTCCTCATTTCCCCCACTGGCTCCCCATCCATGTTCTCTTCCAGCCTCCTGCCTAACGCCATCTTCCACAGTGAGTTTGGGGACCCGTGAGTATTCTGCATCACCAAGCCGCCAGGTGCCAGCACAAACTCATTCAAGCCGGGCCTTTTTTGTTCTTGGAGTCAGGATTGATTTCTCAGAAACTTTTAAAAGTTTGTAAGACTAAATTATCAATCTTTGATTTCTTTATTAGAGAGAAAGCCAGGAAGATCAAAATCATTGGAAATCCCTAAATCTCAGTTTAACCAGTAGCTTCCTTGGCAGGACTACAGAACCCATTTAAAGATCCCCAATTTAAAGCAATGATGACATAGCTTGATTTTTTCCCTCTGAAAATACACCTGTGGGTGCACCATATACAAATGCTGCCACTCTCCTGCCTGTTCCAGCAAGATGCATCAAGGATAGGATGGAGAAGCTCTTACAGACAGAAAGCTGCAGGTTGTCTGTGAGTCTCAGAGGTGATTACAAACATATTTAGTCATGAAAAGACCATCTCCAGACATAAGCCCAAGAGCAGCATCTGGGGATGCAGTTTTCTCAGGCATACCCATTTCCCTTGGAGTTGACAGTCCCCAAAGATGCTGTCTTCTGAAGCAGCCAGCTGCCATCTGTACTTCTAAAACAGCAGAGCTACCAACAAACGAGCCCCATTTCCCTTGGAGTTGACAGTCCCCAAAGATGCTGTCTTCTGAAGCAGCCAGCTGCCATCTGTACTTCTAAAACAGCAGAGCTACCAACAAACGAGCCAGCTTTTCTGTGCCATTCACCTCCATCTCACCCACTTATCACTCCTGGCCATATCCAAATTCAGGTGCCAGTGAGCAATGATAGGGCTGGAAGGTGAGGATCAGGGGTGTTCCACCATTCAAGACATTTATATTGAACAAAGTGCCATGCTAGATGCCACAGGGATTTCACACCGAAAAACAAGGAGAGGCTTCCAAGATGCTCACAAATCTAGTGAGAGAGCAAGACTCAACTAGGGTATATTCCAGAAAACCTACATGGAAAGAAAATAGGTAGTGCAGATTTGGCTCAGTAAATAGAATATGAACCCAAGCCTCATTTTTCCATTATAAATATTGTCCTTAAGAATGTGTCCCTTTCTCCACATTGCCCCCTAGGACTCTTTCTTCCTTTCGTATTCTACAATTATCAAAGGTTTGTGCTCTGGCATTTCTAACTGGTTTAATCATTCTAATTATGTCATAAATGTTTGTTTTCCCTCTCCAACAAGACCACAGAAAACTCAGGTAGTTGCTTACCTTTCTATCTCATCACTGGCCTTAAGAGTATCCTGCATATGGTAGGAGCTCTGCACATGGTGCCGACGGAAACATAAAATCCAGTATCTAAAACTCCAATATGGGGTCTGGAGAATGTCATGGTTCTTGGATTGCTCAGTTGCTTATAGGAATTTGCCTGCTTTAGTCAAGTCACAGAATTCTACAGTTATATAAGTTTAGGGCTAGAAGAGACCTTTTAAATCATAAGGTGTTTTTACCAATGAGTAGCTGATGTCCAGAAATGGGAAGTGACTTTCCTAAGGCCATGAAATAAATGGAAAAGCCAGGACTGGAATCTTGGGCCTCTGAAGCATCAGATGAAAGTGAAAAATGTTATCGAGTCCAGAGATAAAATAAGGAACCTCCTCTCAGTAGCACAGGGAGAAACAATACATATCTGCATTTTATTACAACTGAAAAATTGGCCTGTGTAATCAGATGCACTTTCTCAGCTAAATGTTTTCCAGTTCATTATTTTGCTTAAAAATTGATTAAAATGTTCAAAAATCTATTTCCATTTCCAAAATGGATTTCACTGTAATAGACTCAGTATATTAATAAACACATATAAATGTCACTCTATGAAAAACACATTGTCTGCAAATAACCTTTCAATTAGAAACAGATGCTATGGGCTTTCAGCTTCTAAAGTGTTTTTATTTTAAATGGCCTTTTCACAGCTGAAACCAGGCTGCTCTTTCTTTCTAGTCCACATACATTTTGAAGGTCGGACCTTCCCCCTGGGATCACATGTTGCTTGCAAGTACCCAGGAATCATCACCTGTTGGTGTAGAAAATGCTCTTCTATCTGTCTTGTCAAAAAAGATTATCCCACCCTTGCCACTAAGCAAGCCTTTTCACATAGACTTGGTGACAGGAAAAGAAACACTGTTAGTTACAGTTATGTCGATATTTCTTATCAGATTCAAATTCCACAAATATGTACTGAGTGCCTACTAAGTTTTAGACCCTGTGAGAGGCATTTTCATATGGGTTTTCTCTCCTTAGCCTTGAAACAGATGGTATTGTGGACTGATGGACAGATAAGAGATAACAACTTAGGGAACTGTCCTAAGTATTTTACATACATTAGCAAATTTATCATTTCCAACTTACAAATGAAAAAACCGAGGCTCAGACTTAGTATGCAGTAGAGTAGGGATTCAAACCCAGGTGGTTTAATTCCACAACTTACACTTCTAACTGTTAAGCTATTCCACCTCTCTGCAGCCTGTATTGACAAGAGATTCCAGTCCTCTGCCTGGGTTCCTCTTCTTCCTCGTCCTCTTCAACAATGTTAGAGACTATCTGAAACCCACAGTCCCTTTATTTACAGGCCAGAGGTCCACCAGCTTTTCAGGTTTACACAGCACTTTCAAATACAGACTGTTCTATAACACACACTCACACTTTAATTACCATAGTTCATATGTACAGTCATGCATTACATAATGATTCAGTCAACAACAGACTGCATATATGATAGTGGTCTCATAAGATTATAATACTGTATTTTTACTGTACCTCTTCTATGTTTAGATAGATGAGTACCTACATCATATTACAACTGCCTGTAGTATTCAGTACAGTAACACAGTACACAGGTTTGTAGTCTAGGAGCAAGAGGCTCCACCATAAAGCCTATGTGTGCAGTAGGCTATACCATATAGGTATGTGGAAGTACACTCTACGATGTTGCACAATGATGAAATTGCCTAACAATGCATTTCTCAGAATGTATCCTTGTTGTTAATTGATATGACTAATTGGTAAACAGGAAAATAATATCCTTATAAAACAGAAATTGTGACTGTTTATATGCATTTTTTTTTTCTTAGCCTGTCAATACTTTGAGCATCTGAACAGAGAATTCACTAAAAGAATTGACTAGATTATTGTACCAGATACCCATTAATCCTGCCTCTTTTTCCTATTGGCTTAGTTCGGTCAACATGCTGTCTTAGAAGCACATAGGGCCCACCCAGTTCTCCTAGGCTCTTGTGTAAAAGAACAACCCAGAACAAGGATCCAGAGCCATCTATCTCAGACATCACTCAAGTCCGTGCAAAGTCTGCAAATGCTTTTCTCCATCTCTCCCGGCCTTTGTCTCCAGAACACGTTGCTCCGTTAATAACTCCTTATTCAGTACTCCTCATTCCCACAGGCTGCAGGTTATGCCTGATTTCCAAGTCCCTGCCGGTACTGTCACCCATTTTTCTCATTCAGGAAAGGGTATTTGAATGCAAATGAATCTCCTCTAATTAATGCAAATATGCACATTATTGCAAACATTGGTATTAATATTATGATTCATAGCAAATGAGCCCTGACAGCCCCAACCCTTGTTTATACCCCTTTACTCATGTTACCCTCACCTTTTAAGGTAAAGGCTGATATGTATTTACTAGAATATGTATTTCCTAGGAATTCAACATGACATTTCAAATGTGCTAAGATCCTTATTGGGACGGTTACTGTTTTTCTTGGTGCTCTGGACAAAGTTGCATAGGTTTTGAGTCATTTACTCAACTCTATTTTTCCCATAAATCCTATGATTTTTGTGTGCAATTTTACATAACCTGAGCTTTTCCAAGTTTGTATACCCTGCATCATAGCAGAAACATTTGAACTGGCAGCACAACCAAAGGATTAAACTTTATCCAGTTACCTCAAGACTCACGTGGTCCCTCTTCAACACCGAGTCGCTGTGAGAACAGAATGAATTACTGCCTTTACCATGCTTATTTATACAGTCTGATACATAACTTAGTTTTTAGTTGCAAACAACAGACTCTAACTAAGCAGAAAAGGAATTTATTAAAGGACATGTACTCACAGAATACCTGAGTGGGCCAGCAAATCAGGCTGGGAGACCATTGCTCCCTGAGGCCCCTCCAGTTCACTCCGCTTCTGGTGACACCGCTGGCAGCACTGTGGCATGTACAGCAGACGCCTGTGGTGCAGAACCCTGTTTATGCTGCAGGGAAAGCTGCATGTCTCTCTGCCATCCTTGCTGGAAACAGTTCTGTGGGAGGCCCTGTCATTCCCACGATGCTCTTCTGAATCCCAGTTACCCCTTTGATGTCCCTGAGAAGCTGGGCCTGGGATACACTGGGGTAGTAGCTGCAAGGGAGGCCCAGAGAGTGACTTTTTGACTTGTACTTTGAGGAGGCAGAGTACGTAAGGCTAGAAATTCCCTAAAAGCCAGAAGAATGTTCAAAAGGTACCACATAGCTAGAGTAGGGATTAAATTTTACACAAGTCACAATAAACACTGATCTCTCAGTACCACGTTGATATCCCCGCTTCTCATAGCTTGCTTAATTCAGTGTTCTGTCTGATGTACATCAGCTTAACAACAAATATCCCCGTTTTCTTTTTTTTTTTTTTTCCTTTGTTTTTTTTGAGATGAAGTCTCGTTCTGTTGCCCAGGCTGGAGTGCAGTGGCAGAATCTCTGCTCACTGCAACCTCTACCTCCTGGATTCAAGCAATTCTCGTGCCTCAACCTCCCAAGTAGCTGGGATTACAGGCGTGTGCCACCATACCTGGCTAATTTTTGTTTTTTCAGTAGAAATGGGGTTTCACTATCTTGGCTAGGCTGGTCTCGAACTCCTGACCTCAGGTGATCTGCCTGCCTTGGCCTCCCGAAGTGCTGGGATTACCAGCGTGAGCCACCACGCCCAGCCTTAGCCACCACACCCGGCACCCATTTTCTAACAAAATTTGATCTTATATGTTGATCAACATTTGAAACTATCCCCAAGGTTCCAAGGCTGCACTTATCAATGGATGGTATCCCAGGGGGTAATAATTCGTATGAGCACGTGGGGATTTTGACTTGCTGATAAACCAGGACATAGGTGCATCACAGATTTCTACAGACGGCAGGGTATGCCCGATTTCCAGATCCCTGATGGTACTATCACATTTTTCTCTTTCAGGAAAGGGTATCTGAATGCAAACAAATCTACCCTAATTAATATAAAAATGTACATCATTGCAAACATTGGTATTATGATTGGTAACAGATTAGTGATAATATTCCTCACAACAGATCCTTCCACTTTAGCATATTAATTAATAGGCTATACTATGCATTTGCTAGTGAAAGTTTCTCCCTTCAATATGTTAATTACATCATCTGAATGAGAACTTTAGACATGCTAGGATACATTTGTATACATAATTTTTAGCTACTGTTACATTTCCCCAGGAAACTCCTTAGTCATTCATTTCCAGGCTATTGCTTAGCACCTAAAACTGACTTTGATCTTTAAAATGGCATTCAAGGCCTTACATGGCCCAGCCATGGACAATCTACCAGCCTCACTGTGCCCATCACTCTTAGCGCCCGGAACACAAGAACCTTCTTTCTCTTTTTCCTCCTATGATGCACCCTGCTCCTTCTACCACAGGGGTTTGATATGCTTTTCCCTCCACCTTCCACCCCAAAGATCTTGGGAGAACCTTCCCCATGACCAGCCCCTGCACCACCCCTGGGTCTGGTGCATTGTGACACACACTTGTAGGACCATGTGTCTCTCTCTCTCGGCATTACTGGTTGTTATACTTAGGCAGATATGCATATGATCACCTGATGAACACCTCTCTGCTCCTAAAGCATAATAAGCTCCCAGACGGTAGGAATTGCATGTCTTTTTGCTCACTGCTGTGTTCCAAGAACAAGTAGGGTTTCTTGCCCATGGTAGATGCTAAAAATCATCTGATGTACAAATGAATGGGTTCATGCGTTTAGAGTGATTGACTTCACCCATTTGTTTATTTATTTGCTTGACATAACTCAGAGTTTCAAAGTATCTGACTTTTCTCTCAAAGGTGACAATGTCTCCATTTCACAGATGGGGAAACTGAAGCAGTGCTATTAAATATTTGCTAATAAAGTCACATGGCTAGTACACACTAGAGATGGCCTGGGTTTGGCCTATGGCAACTCCACTCATTAGGGCCACCCTGTTGGCGCACCATCCTCTGTCACGTGCTCAAAGGAAATTGCAGTAGAAAGCAAGCCCCACGATTCTGGCCCTCAGGGAGCTTGTGAATCGCCAAACCTTAAGCAAAAGCAGAATCACTCATTTCCCTTATTTATTTATTTTTTTAAAGGTGTTGCCACTCAGTCTGCTAAGATCCCAAAGAATGACAAGATAGCCAGGAAATTTATGATGCTGATAATGGTGATGGCTAACAGCCATTGTATTACTGCTGAGCACTATCCTAAGCACTGTAAGTGTACTATGTTATTTGGTCCTCGAAAACCTCCTGTGAAATAGGTATTACTATTAATCTTCATTTTACAGATAAGGAAAGTGAAGCATGAAGCTGTTAAGCTGGTCACATGGTCAAGAGTAATGCATCCAGCACACAAACCCAGGCAATCAGCCATGGGAGCCTGAGCTGAAAAACCACGAGAGACCACACAGCATGCTGCAAGGGAGCACCTGACGCTTCCAGGGGAGTCTGAGCTGGGTGCTGAGCCAGCCTAGACACATGCACTAAAGGAAAGAAGAGAATGAAGGAGCCTCTTCATTCTTGGAAGGTGGTGATAAGGGTGGGGCTAAAAGTTCCAATCCTCTTATCAAATGGTTGGTTACCCTGGCACCCAGCCCCCATCCTGATGCTATCCAAAAGCCCACCAAGAGTTGTCTCATTAGAACAAAAGATCCTCTGATCACTCAGGAAATTCCGAGGGATTTAAGAACTCTGCATCAGGAACTGGGGTCAAAGATCAAGTATCAGGACAAAATATTATCCTAGTGTCCCCATCTAAGTGTTTTAGGAGCTCTGTGCTGGAAACTGGGAGGCAGAGACCAAATATATATTTCATATTATATCACATCACAGTAGTTTTATGGAATTTCAGTAGTTTAAATTTAAATAGCCATGAGTGATTAATAGCTACTGTATTGGCTGGCACATATCTAGACAACAGAAGCTGCTCTCTAATATTAGAAACAGCAAGGCTGCTTAGCAGAGGCTGTTGAGATTGGAAGAGACCTTAGAGTTTATCTGGTATAATTCTCTCATCTCACAAATAAGAAAACTAAGGCCCAAACAGAAGCGACTCACACAAAACCACTGCAGCAAGAGAGGTACGGCAGTCTAGAGTGTTGGTCTTCTGCATCTGATCCAATGCCTTTTCCATTCCACAGGCTGCTTCTGTTACTGATGCAAAAATAGCTCTAATTTTGTTTAATTCTGGTTTGTGGAACTGACGCAGCTCATAGGCAAAGCTAACTAAAGATCATGCGCTCCCCCTGTTGAGCTAGGTATCTCCAATGTCCATCAGGTAAGTATATTAGTTATCTCAGTGGCAAAAAAAAAAACAGAACCCACTCTGGTTAGTTTATTAAGGAAGGTTAGGCAGTTTGCACAATCTCTGACAGGGCCTGAGAGCCAGGCTCAGAGGTGTTGCAGTCAGGAACTGTTGACAAATTACACCACCACTGCTCCAGTGGGGACTCAACCATGTCTGCCACTGGACTCAGGGAAAGGGGCTCCCCGTCTCCAGTGCTGCGCGTAGGACTCCACCCCAGAACCTCTGCCCCTCCAAGCTCGGTGTCACCACTACCACGCTCACCAGAATGCATTCCAGGTCCCACCTCTTCCCACCTCCCATTTTCTTTGGAATCTAATCTCAGGCACGAGGGATCTGAGACTCTTCCTGCAAGGAAGAAAAAAACATTTATGGCTTCTACCAGATGCAGCAACCGCATAAGGCAGAAAGATCGCGCACGCATTAGGAAAAGAATTCAAAAGAAGGCAGCGACAACACTTAACAAATGGCCTGTCAAGTAAATAACCCATCTGCAGTGGCCTAAGACCATGGATCTCACAGCCCATCTTTCTAAGCAACATCGCTGACTCAGAGCTTTTTACATTTAAAACTATGTCTCTACATTGCAAATATCCTGAGTAAGTCACCAGGGGCTCTTTTTAATTTTTTTTAAAAGATACATTTATTCACAGGAACATCTGTATTGATAAAGCTATATATGGTGGGAACTAAATTATGCATCTCAATTCTCAAGTATTGAGAGTTTCTCTTAGTTTTTTCTTTTTAAATCTGGATTGTCTCATTAATAAATTCAAATATAGCACAGCTAGGAAGACAAATAATTCTAACAAGTTTTTCCTCAAAAGTGGTAACAGCAAGATCAGGGTGAGGAGTGAATCTGAGAAATCTTCTAAAAATGAAATATTAGTGAAATGTGGAACATAATCGTCAAGGCCCTTCCATTCTAACATTCTGTGAACATAAGCAAAGGACTCCAAAGCACCCCAAGTGTTTGCATCTGGAGGATGAGGAATGTTGTCTCGGACATTGACATGACTGTGATGGGGAAAGCCTGGAAGGGGATTTAATTTTTGACAAGAAATGGGAGGACTCACCAACACATTATGTGACAGATTTCACTGGCAGCCCCAGAGAATGAGCCAGCCTTGTGGATTTAGAGGGTCTCTGTGTCCTAAGAGGGGCTGACATCCAAGGGGAATGGGCATCAACGCAAGGGTGCTGAGGGCTAAGAACTAGGCCTTCAGAGACCTCACTAACTAATGGCCAAGCAAGAGAGATGAACCAGTGAAGGAGCCAAAGCCCTGGTTTGCTGAGTGGCCAGAAGACAAGATGGGTACTTGTCACCCTGGGAAAACTGCAAACCTCTATCCCAAGTACATTTCCTAGCCCTGACCCCAACTCCACTCAGCTGCCCATGCTTCTGGAGAGAGCCTACTGCCACAACCCACCCTCACTTAACTGCCTCCAAGTTAATGTTCACATGCATAATTACATATTTTAGAACACACCAGGCAAGCAGAAAGAAATTAAGAGGTATTTTAGGTCTATTGTTGCTCAACACAGAGAAGCTTTTACAACAGCTGTCTGTTTGAGAAACCCCCGAGTAGCAGGACAGACCTGGACCTGCAGGCTCCAGTTCATGGTGCAGAAGCACAGTCATGGTTGAGGTTCAAAAATCCCAATTTCTCTAGATTCCCACCTAAGTCTGTCAGAGTGACTTTTGAAAATGTAAATCAGATCCTGTCACTCCCCTACTTAAAACCCTTCAAGTGCTCCTATCACATTCAAAATGGAGCCCAATCTTCATCACAGTCTGGCTGTTCCCTCTTCCTCCAGCCTCAGGGAGGGACTCCTTGCTCCTCTACTGGCCAGCCCCAGGCTCCCCTTCTGTTCCTCAAGCATGTTCCTTTGCAACTCAGGGGCGGGGGCTTGCACTTCCCTCTGGCTTGAACAGTCCAGCCCTCGCCCTTTCCCTGGTGACTCCTTCCTCCTCACTCATCTCTGTGTTGCCCGCTGCCTTAAAAAGGGCCTTCCTGCCCAGCCCTTCAAACACGGCACTCACACCTGCACCCTCCATCACATCAAGGGAATGACAGTGCTTGCTTACTTGGGTTCTTTTTGTTCTTCCATTTAAAAAAATTTTATTGTAGAAACACTTAATGTGAGATCTAACCTGTTAACAGGTTTTTAAGTACACCATACAGTACTGATAACTACAGGCACACGCTGTACAGTGGATCTCCAGAGCTTATGCATCTTGCCTACCTGAAACTTTATACCCGATTAACAACTCTCCCTTCCCCCACCCCCTGGCAACCATCATTCCATTTTTGTTTTTGCTTCCATGAGTTTATTTTAGATACCTCATAAAAGTGGATTCATGCAGTTCTCGTTCTTCTGTGAGCATCTGATTTCATTTAGCTAATGTCCTCCATGCTCACGCATGTCATCACACACTGCTTACTTGTTTTCTCATTTACTCACTGGGATGTGAGCTAAGAGAGGGCAGGAACATTGTCTATCTTGTTACTGCTTTGATCCTGGCACCTAGAATAGTACTTAGGGCACTTAATTTGGTATAAAAATAAATGGGTTAAATGAAAAGAAAATTAGACGGTTACTAAGTCCTTTTACATTTTTGAAAATAAAGTTTATCTAAACATGTTTAGGAGCCCTCTAGACATTAGACGTTGTGGGGTACTACGCAGAAGATCCAGATGAGTCAGACCCTGCTCACTACCTGGGAGGGGGCTGCAACACACATGCGCACGTGTGCGCGCGCACACACACACACAAGCTATATTTAAAGCAGGGGTCCCAAAGTCCCCTGAGCATCAGAGTCACTGGGAGTGATTCACAATTATACTGATTCCTGGACTCTACCCAAATCCACTTAGCCCAATCCCCAGAAGTAGAGCTTGGGGATCTAAAGCATCCAGGAAGATTCCCAGGATCCAGGAGGCTTGGGAGGCAGTGTTATCGAGGTAGAGAGAGGAAGGCTGCACAGAGAAGGCAGCATCTGAGATGGACTGAGATGGGTGGGATTTGGATATGCACTAATGGGAGAAGCTCAGGCACTTCTGGTATAGGGAACAAAGATGCTAGGAGATGGTGAGGTAGGGGCAAAAAACAGCATTTGGTCCCAAGTGGCAGTGGCACAAGGGGAATAATGGTGAGATGAGATGGAAAGGTAGCCTGAAGACCCACTGTGGTGGGCCCAGGACACGGGGTTGTATAAAGTCTGGTTCTGAGGAGGGAGGGGAAGCATCAGGGCTGGGTTTCTGTGAGACTGATGGATGGCCATAAGCAAAGTCAAAGAAAAGCCATGAAAGGTGAGGGGACTGGGAAGAGGCTCGGACAACCTGGTCGGAAAGAAAATGACGACCAGAGTAATAACTAACATCTGCATGGAGTGTTATGGCCCCTAAAACACTTTTGACACACTTCATCCCATTCAAGCCTGGCAAGCAATTTCTTGAGCCAGAAATTGTGATTTCCAATTTACAGATAAGTAGTCAAGGTCTTAGAAAGGTTTCATGAGTTATCTAAAGTTATGGGTAGAAAGAGAGCGTGCCAGGATTCGAATCCTGTTACTCTGATTCCAGAGGTATAGTGGGATTGGGGGGTGGGGGGCAAGGAGATAAAACTAGCCTTGAGTTTCCATCATTTCCAGGCACAGGGCTGAGTGATTAGCATATACTATTAAACTTCATCACAGCTCTGTGAGATAAGAAGCCCAGTTCACAGACAACGGTGCGTCTTATTCTTTTCCTCCAGAAACAGAAAGGAAGGGGTGGATGTGAGAGATGTTAAGAAGACAAAGCCAGTGCAATTTGGAAAATGACTGGGTGCAGGAGCAACGATGGAAGGGGGGACCCAGCCCCATGGGAGCCAGTGGACTTCTCTCCAGCACCCTGCCTGAATTTTCATTAATTGCCTCTTTGGGGCCTATTTTGGTTACCCGGGTCTCTTCACTTACATGTTCTTCACTTTTTATTTAAAACACTTTAGTACAAGAACACCACACAGATCCTTAGCTTCTTTCTGGTGGAATCAAAGAAAAGTTTAAAAGAAACTGATACTGCAGTCACTTCAAAGGAGATGAGTTTTCATCAGGCAGGGATAAAAGATACCTGGGGACTCCTCCCAGGTGTCATTTCTCACCTCTGGATGCCACTAAAAGATGATCGACAATGCCTAATTAGGGCCACAAAGACACACACTTTAGACTCACCTCAGGTGGAAGCAGTGTTTTAATAAGGTCATTCACTTTTTATATCACTATTAAAAACTGTTTAAACAGAAATCAACCTTTATGTTACACTTACAAAATACAAAGTTTAAAATCCTACATAACAAAGCAAGTATTTTTGCCTCTGAGTTATCACCTCTGTGTTTAAAAATACATCCATAATGGCTTCATCTTTCTTTCCTGGTGGACAGAGAACATGCATGTGTTTTAGCTGGTTCTAAACTGCAAGACTGAATACAGATGCTAATTAACTTCCCATTACCATCTGGGTCTTACTTCCAGGATCAAATGTGCACCTCTCTCCTTAACTTCTGTTTCCAGTGCAGCTCAGAGCCCAAAAAGGTCTAAACGGTCCTAAGGGGACACCAAAAAAAGAGTGGCTCATCTCCAGCTCTCTTCCTTCTCAGAGGGAGTGGGTAAGCCTCAATTAATCCTTCATTTGACCACCTTGCTTCTTAAAGAGGCAAGGCAGATTTTTTGAACATTTCAGACACCACACCATCCAAGAAACACTTCAAATGATGGTGAGCAGACTTCTTCATCAATACCAGGAATGTTACAATTAACTACAGCAAATGTGGTGATAGACTTGTGGTATCCAATATAAAGAAAGCTAAAAATTACCCTGTCATTCACAAAACTCAAAATGCCAATGATTTTTAGCCCAAATAATAATTCTGTTCTGCTGTAGGGCTAATTTTACGAAAGGGTCAGGTATAGGGTATCAACAAGGAAAACCCAAAAGCAGGTAATATCATTTATAATCATTTCAGAATTCAGCAAGCCACCAACTCCCATACTGCAGAAATTTGCTGCCCTTCTGGCCATTCAAAGATATTTGAGACTTCATGGAAAACCTGCACCAACCTCCAGGAGAATAAAAGACACTACAAGCAGTGAACAGCTGTCATGTTCTACCTTCTCTCTCATCAGAACAAAATCATGCTTCAAAAGGGCACACACTATTTCATATAAATGTTGGCATTTGTATGAACTGAATATGTGCTATATTGAACACCATTCTAATATGCAAAATCTATTTGTGGAAAAAAATTATCTTCTAAGGACTATATTAAGGACTACATTAAGATCTCCAGAGATCTTCTCAAATAGCTTCAGGGCCATGCCAGAGGTTCACTGCCTTGTTCTATTTGCCTAAGAAGTATCAGTGGAATGATTTCCATACTTTGCATTTCCACTAGTCCTGAGAGGATATCAAGACATTCTCCTTAGGACAAAAGTAGTGGCTCTGATGAACTCACACATGGTCTCTGGAGTAAATACGAAAAGTGACGATAAAGAAAATTTATCTTGCTATTTTTTTAAAAGCTAGATTCTTATTCAAAATATGTATTTGAAATTAATTGAAGAGATACATATAAATAATATAGAAAACAAAATTCAGGTGAATACTTTTCTGATTTTAAATCTGTAACCTAAAGAGCAATAAAAATTATAAATTGACAAATTTAATGTTTCAGAGACAATGGGAGGAGGATGGTATCAGGTACTCCTTTAAAAGTCATATGCCCAAAGTTAAGTTGTTATCAGCTTTAAAAATTCTATTATAACTACAGCACTCTTTGTTAGTCCCATAGTAACCACAAAGAAATTACAGCAGATACACAAATGAGAAAGATAAAAAACAAACAAAGCTTGGCAACACAGAAAACCACCAAACCAGAGCGAAAAAAAGTGAGAGGAAAAAAGGAAAAAAAATCTACAAAACCACTGAAAAACAATTAACAAAATGGCAGGAGTAAGTCCTTACTTATCAATAGTAATCCTGAATGTAAATGGATTAAATTCCCCAATTAAAAGACAGAATGGGTCAGGCGCAGTGGCTCATGCCTATAATCCCAGCACTTTGGGAGGCTGAGGTGGG